>NC_000015.10:89471581-89623096 GCF_000001405.40 Homo sapiens
CCCACCAGGTCCCAGCCCCACTTTGAGCCTGTTTTTCTCCAATGTGGCCAAGACCCCAGGCAGAGGCAGAACTTCTGCAGCCAGAACCCGGCTTGGATGCCCACTTTGTAGCTTCTCCTTCTCCATTCTCAGTCAGACCCCCTGGGATGAAGGGGAGGGCAGGGGTGGAGGCACCTTGAGGCCAAGCCAGCAGGTGGGGGTGCTGCTTGCTCACTCTTGCATCCCTAGCTAGGTCAGCACCAGCTCCTCTGGGCCCCAGGACAGTCTGTGGAGCCTGCAGGGAGACAGCCAAGAGCAGCGGGTCACTGCCGGGTCCTGCTGTAGCCTCTCAGGCACCATTTTCTTTTCTGGATGGGGTGGACATTAAAGGCAACTGGGCATAGCCTCACCTTCCTCTTTCCTGGCACCCTAACATCCTCTCTTGCCACATCACTCAGGCCCCAGACCCAGCTATTGCCAAGCTCTGGCCTCCAAGGAAGTTAAATAACAATAATAAAAACAGTAACAATGACCAGCAAGGACCCCAGTTTCTCCACTTGCTAGTTGTGTGATCTTGAAGAACCTGAACTTCTCCGAGCCTTAGTTTGCTCATCTATTAAAATGAGGGCAGTAATTCTACTTGCCTTGTAGAGATCTTGGGAAGGTTAGATGTGAAAGCCATGAGCAAGGGCTTGGTGCATTCCACAGAGGAGGCACAGTGTTAGTTGACGGAAAGAAAGAGGGGAGGGTGGGTCTCATCTGAGCTGAGCAACTGAATACAACCAGACGTGTCAGCTTCATTTTTATAGATGAGGAAATCGAGGCCCAGTCTCTGGGGTGAAGAGATTCTCAAAGTCACACACCAGCAGGCACAGTCACAAAGCCAAGTGTGCCCCCAGGTCTCCTTCCATATTCCTTCCAGGCCCTTGTGCCTTCACCTGTTCCTGTGTCTGTCCTGGATGCACGTTGTCTGACTCTAAGAAGCTCCCCTGCCAACCCCATGTGCCCACTGCACCTCAGGCAGGAGGGGTGGAAGCCCTCATTTCTTGATGTTTGCTTTTTGCCTCTTTGCTAGTAACATCTGATTCTGAGAGCTGGGCCCCCACTGGGAGAACCTCCCTGTCATCCCCCAAGCCAAGCCCATGCTCACCTGCTCCTCACCTGCCCTGGGAGCCTAGGGTACCAAGGGTACCGAGGAAGCCATGGGTAGTGGGGACACCATGGGTACTGAGGGTACTGAGGGTCCTGAGGGCTTGAAGGTGGGGTCCTCAGGGATGTAGACAGTGCTGTTCCCTTCAGGCATCTACAGAGAGAGGATGCAACTCTGAGGGCCCTGTCCCAGTCCAGGCAAGGGTGTCCCTGGTGACTAGAACCTGGAGCTGCAAATGGTGTGTGGCGAGCGCCACCTTGTGATCGCCGTGCGGATCACATGCCACGGAGAGCAGGGTGGTCCTTCAACACAGGAGTCCTGCCCCTACCCTATATTAGGCACTGTCCTGGGTGCTGAGGCATGGCAAGGAGGAGACAGTGTCCTTGCCCCATGAGAGCAATGGTGAGGCATTGCAGTGAAATACCCAGTGACAGTAAGAGTTGCAAATGCACACAACAGGCTTATAACCCAGCCTGGGGGATGCTGAGAAGTTGTGCTGAACCCACTTTTAAAAGATGAATTGGAGTAAGGGGCAGAGGCGGTAAAAGGTAGTATGGCAAGCTCTGTAAACTGCAGACAGGTCCGAAAATGGGGTGGGGAAGGTGCAGGGAAGGCCAGAAGTGGGTAGAGAGGTGGAGGGCAGGCAGGGCAGGTCAGCCCTGCCCTTGCCCCATCTGTGGTCCTGGGGAACACTGGTCCAATCCCCATCCTCTGAGAAGCCACCTCACTCCCAAGGTAAACCACTCAGGGCCTCAGGGACTGCCTGATAGTGTTCCTTCCATTGGCACAGAATTTTGTTATTCCCAACCAGGTACAGCCAGCCCTCCATACCCATGGGTTTTGTATCAGCAGGTTACACCTATCACAGGTTGAAAATATTTAGAAAAAGCAACAACAAAAAATGACAATATAACAATAAAAATAATAAAAACAAAAAACAATACAGCATTTACATTGTGTTAGGTATTACAAGTAATCTACAGATTACTTAAAATATGTGGGAGGATACATGTAGGCTTTTATGCAAATACTATGCCATTTTATATCAGGGACTTGAGCATCCCCGCAAGAGATCCTGTAACCAATCCCCTGAGGTTACTGGGGGACGTCTGTACTGCTCAAGGTATATAGAGCTGAGAGGTGTGAACTTGGAATAAATTATAAAGATCAAAACAGAACCAAGAGGGAACTTCTACATGGGGGAACTGATAACATTTCTGATTTATTTCGTTAGCGTAAAATCTGTTGGTTTCTAATTGTGGTGTCTAAAATAGTTTAAGTTCTGACTTTCTTAAATATAGAATAGAAATAATTATCCTGTGAGAAAAGAAAGTTTATTAGGAATGTAATAACACAGAACAATTCTTATGATAGAGTGGTAAGGAGAAAGAGACGGATACTAAATTGGGTGAATAATACAATTTCAACCGTGTAAGAAAAATCTATGCAGAGAAAAAAGATAGAAAGGAAATATACCAGAAAATATTAATATTGCTTGACATAGGGTGACAGGATTTCTATTTTACTGTATTTCCAGATTTTCTTTAATGAGCGCCTAGTCATTTTTAATTAAAAACATTTTTAAAGAGTTAATTTAAGAGACATTCGTTATGTGCATGAAGTTACCTTATAGTAGATAGTAGTTAAAATTACCCTTAAAACTTCTGGTATGGTTTTAAAAATACAGAGCTAAGTGAAAGGCATTATGGGTGGCCCCTTGTCCCAGGAGCCACAGACACAGGCGGGTCCTCACCCTTGTCATGAGAGGACAGTGCAGGAGGCATGAGGGGAGTCCTGCCATCCTGCATCATCCAATGGCAGGTGGGCACCTCCAATCATGATTCATGGGGAGAGGCCAGCCTGAAGTCACAGAAAGCCCAGATTGTGGCATGTTTTTAAGGAAACTGAGTTCTGTGACATTCCACCACTTTCATATCTAGAACAATGTTCCTCAACTGCTGAAAGGGGTGGGATGCTGCAGAACTCAGTTGCCTGCCTGCTGCCTTCGTTCATTCCTTCCTGCCTGCCTTCCTTCCTGCCTGCCTTCCTTCCTGCCTTCCTTCCTTCCTGCCTGCCTTCCTTCCTTCCTGCCTGCCTTCCTTCCTGCCTGCCTTCCTTCCTGCCTGCCTTCCTTCCTGCCTGCCTGCCTTCCTTCCTGCCTGCCTTCCTTCCTGCCTGCCTTCCTTCCTTCCTGCCTGCCTTCCTTCCTGCCTGCCTGCCTTCCTGCCTTCCTGCCTTCATTCATTCCTGCCTGCCTGCCTTCATTCATTCCTGCCTGCCTGCCTTCCTTCCTTCCTGCCCGCCTTCCTTCCTTCCTGCCCGCCTTCCTTCCTGCCCGCCTTCCTTCCTTCCTGCCTGCCTTCCTGCCTTCCTGCCTGCCTGCCTTCATTCATTCCTGCCTGCCTGCCTTCATTCATTCCTGCCTGCCTTCCTTCATTCCTTCCTTCCTTCCTGCCTGCCTGCCTTCCTGCCTGCCTGCCTTCCTTCCTTCTTTCCTTCCTTCCTTCCTTTTTCCTTCTTTTCTTTCCTTCCTTTTTTTTCTTCCTTTTTGGTCTCACTCTGTCATCCAGGCTGGAGGGCAGTGGCGCAATCACAGCTCACTGCAACCTCTGCCCCCCCGCCCCAGGGTTCAAGTGATTCTCCTGCCTCAACCTCCTGAGTAGCTGGGATTATAGGCATGAGACACTGAGCCCGGCTAATTTTTTTTGTATTTTTAGTAGAGACAGGGTTTTGCCATGTTGGCTAGGCTGGTCTCGAACTCCTGACCTCAGGTGATCTGCCCGCCTCGGCCTCCCAAAGTGCTGGGATTATAGGCATGAGCCACTGCGCCCAGTCCAGAACTCAGTTTCTGTATTGGAATCACCTGGGAGCTTGTCAGTTGCAGAGTCCCGGTCCCTACTGAATCAGAACCTCTGGGGTGGTGCCTGGGAAGGTCTCCAGGTGGTTCTCATGGAGACTGAAGCTGAGCACTGCACTGTGATTCCTAACCCAGGCTGGGTGTTAGAATCCCCGAGGAAGCTTTAAAAAAATTCTAATGTCTAGACCCTACCCCAGAGCAGTTAAATCCAAGTCTCTGTGGGCTGGGGCCTGGGCTTTGGAATGCTGTCAAAGCTCCCTAGGTGATTCCAGTGTGCATCTTAGCGCGAAAACCGCTGCTCAAATACAGTGGTGCTTAGACTTGTTTGTCATCAGAACCACCTGGGGCTTGTTAAACCAGAGTGCTGGGCCCGCCCCCTTGTTTTGGAATCAGGATGTCTGAGGAACTTAAGACTTTGCATTTCTCTCTCTCTCTCTTGCTCTCGCTCTCTCTCTCTCTCTCTCATTCTCTTCTCCCTTCCCTCCCCTCCCCTCCGCTTCTCTCTCTCTCCCTGTCTCTCTCGGGATCTTGCTCTATTGCCCAGGCTGGAGTGCAGTGGCGCCATCATGGCTCACTTTAGCCTCCACCTCCTGGGCTCAAGCGATCCTCCTGCCTCAGCCTCCAGAGTAGCTGGCACTACAGACGCATTCCACCATGTCTGAATAAGTTTTCTATTATTTTTTGTAGAGACAGAGTCTCCCTATGTTGCCCAGGCTAGTCTCAAACCCCCAGGCTCAAGCTGTCCTCCTGCATCAGCCTTCCAGTGTGGGAATTACAGTTGTGAGCTACGGCACCCATGAGAATTTGCATTTCTAACCAGTCTGTAGGTGATGCTGATGGTGCCGGGCACCATACCATGGGGACCACTGCTCTAGAATAAAGCTGACTGAGTCTTTAGGGACAAGAGTAAACTCCAGCTGTAGCCCTGACTATAGGTTGCTTCTGTCACCCCCTCTAGGGTGTGCAGAAAGAGAGGTACACATCACCCACTCCAAGCCCTGGGGTCTAGAGGGAAGAGTCTTCAACCTCCATGAGACACAGCCTCCCCCGATGAAGAAGTAGGGTAATGTAGGCTCTGACCCCCACCCCCGGCATCTGGGTCCCCAGGCCCCAGCCCAGCTGATGCAGTGGAGGCAGGGAGGGAACGCAGCTGCCCTCCTTCAGGGGGCCAAGTCCCTGGAACTCACCTCCCAGTAGACCGCATCCTCAAAGCAGTTCTCATCTGAAGGTTGTCCCCAGAATGGTAATCTCAAAATGAGCCCTACAGAAAGTTGGAGATTACAGGATGTCAGGAAGTGCCTTCTCTCTGCTCACCCCAGCCATTTCCCTCAGCTGGGAAAATCCTCCTGGGGCCCTTGGGCTGAGTTCCAAATTGTCCCAGTCCTGTAGCCAGAAGTGCAGAGATCAGGGATTCCTGGGGGCTCAGGCTGACCTGTGCCGCATGCCCTTTGCTTCTCCACCCAGGGAGCCCCACAGCAGCACCCCCCTTCTCTGGCTCAGCCATTCCTGCTCACCCACAATGATGCCACCCATCAGGGCCATGGCCAGGGTCACCAAGAGACCATAAATCTGGAACTTTCCCTGTGTTCTTGCGGTCCAGTCCCCGTTGAAACCTTGAAAGTCAAAGGAATGGACAAGCCTGGGGTGGAGACAGGGGGCAGGTCAGGGCCCCATGGAGAGGCCAAGTAACAGCTTGCTGCCACCCCAAAAATGTGACCGGGTACCACGGGCCTCAGCCTTCCCACCCACAACATGGGGACACCGGACATATCAGTTGGCCTCTAAAACTCTAAGGGACAGAGTTTGGGGAGAGAGACCCATGAAACAATTGGTCCAGAGTGGGGAAGGAAAGGGAGAAAGATGCAGTCGGGTCCCAGAGGAATAGCAGGAAGAAGGGATGGGAGAAGGAAGGGGGAAGCTCCATCCCACCGCACCTCCTCCACATTTACCCTTCTTTTCCATAGACTTCAAGGCTGGCGGAGGCCGCTGTCACAGCACCCACGATGCCGCCTATGATGCCAGGAATGCCATGCAGATTGTTAATGCCACATGTGTCCTGGATGTGCAGCCGGGACTCCAGGAATGGCTGGAGACGGGAGGTGGGTGCTGCTCAGGCCGGGGGCTGCATCAAGGGTGTGGGGAGGCCGGGATTCCAGAGACCCAGGATTCTCTAGCCCTCAGCCCCCTCCCTAGGAACCCTCAGCTCACTGTCAGGAACACAAAGACCTCAGCATTCTCTAGCCCCCAGCCCCTTGCCTGGGGCACTTACGGTCAGGTATACAAAACCCAGGGTGGAGATGATGCCGCAGACGAAGCCGATGATGAGGGCACCGTAAGGCATGAGCATCATCTCAGCAGCGGTACCCACGGCCACCCCTCCTGCGAGCGTGGCATTCTGGATGTGCACCTGGGCAGGGCAGGCAGAGCAGGCAGGAACTCAGTCCTCTCCCTGGAGCACCGGGCCTGGAGGAGCTCACTTGCTGGCTGTGCAAGGGTGCAGCCTGGCTCCTGGGAGCCGGGGATGGCTGGGAGTTCACCTCAGCAAGCCAGGAGCCTGCAGAGGACTTCAGCCCCACCCAGGCTTGCTACAGCTGCTCCCTGTGCCTCTCTGCACATGCCACCCATCCCGCCTAGTAGGTCTGGGCATTTTCCATGTGCTGGTGCACTTGCTGGTGAGCCCTGACAACAAGCACACTGTTGTTTTATGTATACCATGTATACCTGTGTGCCCAGACTAGCATGTCTGAACGTTCTTGCCATGGATGCAAGTCCACGTCAAGTGCCTATGGGGTCTAGACATAGGCACGCACCAGCTGCTGCTGTCTGAATGCTAACCTGTACCAGGTACCGTGCTGCTGGCTGTAGGGGTTAGCGCTTTCCATCTCTACAACAAGTCTGCAAGGTGAGGACAGTTATCTTGCAACATTTGCAGATGGCGAAACTGAGGTGAGGGGGGTTAAATGACTTGTCCAAGACCACAGAGCTAGCAAGAGGCAGAAAGGTGTCTTGATCCAGGTTGTGTGGCCCCAGAGTCCCTGTCCTTGACCCTATTCCATGTCCCTTCCTGCAGGTGGGTGTGGATACACACAGGTGTGCCAGTCTGTGTGTCTGATTCTCTTCCCCAGGTGCCTGAATCCCCACCTCTCTGCATGGTGATAGTGTCCCCAAATAATCGATACTCCAGACAGTGTCTCAGCACACATATGCCCACGTCAAGACGCTTGTGTCAGATTATAAGATAGGTTCGGCGCAGTGGCTTACACCTGTAATCCTAGCACTTTGGGAGGCTGAGGTGGGTGGATCACCTGAGGTCAGGAATTTGAGACCAGCCTGACGAATATGGTGAAACCCCATCTCTACTAAAAATACAAAAATTAGCTAACTTAGCTGGGCGTGGTAGCCTGCACCTGCAGTCCCAGCTAGTTGGGAAACTGAGACAAGAGAATTGCTTAAACTTGGGATGCAGAGGTTGCAGTGAGCCGAGATAGCGCCACTGCACTCCAGCCTGGGTGACAGAGCGAGACTCCATCTCAAAAAAACAAAACAAAACAAAACAAAAAAAAACAAGATAAAGAATATCCTTGCTCTGGGTGCTGCTGAAAACTGGCCATGTGCTCAAAACAAATCATTTCTCCCCCAACCTCATCTGCAAGATGGGTGTGATGATCCCCTCAGAGGTGTTGGCAAGGCATGGTGATCAGCGCCCTCCAGGCCCAGGCAGTCAGAGCCACACCCCCAACGCCCTCATGCTCACCATGTCCAGCTTGCCCTTCTTGTGCAGGGCACTGGATATTGCCACCGAGGTAAGCACGCAGGCTGCCAAGGAGCAGTAGGTGTTGATGGCGGCTCGGTGCTGGCTGTCCCCATGGTAGGATATGGCTGAGTTGAAGCTGGGCCAGTACATCCACAGGAAGAGGGTGCCTGGTCAGACCAGACAGGCCCAATGGGCCCGGGAGGAGAGGCATTAGATACAGCCCCACAGCTCAGGCAGGCATCCTGTCCTTTAGCTCTAGAGATGACCCCACACCCAGCTGTTTCCACCTCTGCAGCTTTAGTCATGCAGGGGCTCTTCCTGGAAGGCCCTCCCTGCCTTCCTTACCCCCCACTTAGCCTTCCACACCACTCCAGGAAGTCTACCCTGACCCCCATTTCTGGGCTAAATGCCCCCACCCTGTTCCCACAGCGCCAGGAGGGAGAATCTTTTCTCTACTGTAGGGAGATCCTCCACATGGCACTGCTTTCTCTTCCACTACGCTGTGAGGAGCTCCTGGAGGGCAGGGCTGGGTTTTGAGAGACCAGAATGGCTGTGGTCAGTGTCTTCTCTGGAATGAATGGACACAGGAAGTGGAAATGCACATCTTGCCCTAGCCCAGGGGATGGAGTGAGCAGCTCCTGGTTACCACTGTGTCTGCCTTGGGGCATTCTAGGGGAAATACAGGATGAGTGACCAACTTCTTTCAGCTTCATGGGGAAGGGGGACAGACATATGGGATTCTAGAAGTATCTATAGGCAAACTCTGTTTGCCCTTCCCCCAAAAAGAACTGGCAGCCATGCACCATACCACGTGGGGATCAGGTCTGATCATGGTGGCCTTCACCCATCATGGTGGCCTTCACCCATCATGGCTGCCTTCACCCATCATGGCCACCTTCACCCATCATGGTGGCCCTCGGTCATGATGGCAGTTCTCACCAATCATGGCAAAGAGGTCCGACTGGTACACAGAATTCTGTCTCTCCTTGCTCTGCTCTAGGTTGCGTCGGTAGAGGATCCGGGTCACTGTGAGCCCAAAGTAGGCGCCAAATGTGTGGATGGTCATGGAGCCTCCTGCATCCTTCACCTGGGGTGCAAGGGGCCTGTCAGACTCTGGCACCTTCTCTCCCTCCCTCCTCATTGCCGTCCCTGTCTTGCCACACACACACACGCCCAGAGCTCCAGCCTTCTCGGACTCTTCAGGGTGCAGGATGGAGCCTGGGGCCTTCACGGACCAATCAACTGGTAATGGGGAGAAGGTAGGGATTCCCATCAGCAAAATGCCAGGGTGTCCTCACCCAGCAGATTTGGTTGTTCCCAGATGGGGAAACCCAGGCCTGGAGACAGACTTGCTCATACTGCTGGAGGAGGTAAGGCAGAGGCAGAACTGAGGGAAACAACCTACCTGCTTTGTCACCCACTGGTTTCCACCTCTGTGCCTCTCATTTGACAAGCTCTGCATTTACACCACCTGCTAGTGCCTTAGCAGGGCTGTTGTCAGGATTCATGCAGGCAACTTGCCCCTGGCGAGGGCCTGGCACTTAACAGGTGCCAGATTGATGTTTGTCCCCCTCACACTCACCTCTCCTTCTCTTTTACCTCCTCCTTCCTCCCCACCTAGAACCAATTTCAGATGAATAGAATCACAGACTCACTCCTTCACTTTAGATGGGGGAAACCCAGCCAGAGAGGTAAGTGTGTCATCCAAGGTCATAGAACTGGTTGTTGACAGGGCTGGGATTCTCGACTCCCAGCCTAGCAGATGCCTCTACTAGCTGTGTGACCTTAGGTGAGCCCCTTAACCCCTCTGAGCCTCAGCTTTCTCATCTATAAAACAGGGGTAAGCCAGGCACAGTGGTGGCTCATGCCTGTAATCCCAGCACTTTGGGAGGCCAAGGCAGGCGGATCACCTGAGGTCAGGAGTTCAAGACCAGCCTGGCTAACATGGCGAAACCCCGTTTCTATTTAAAATGCAAAAATTAGCTGAGCATGGTGGTGTGCACCTGTAATTCCAGGTACTTGGGAGGCCGAGGCATGAGAATCGCTTGAACCCGGGAGGCAGAGGTTGCAGTGAGCTGAGATCATGCCACTGCACTCCAGCCTGGGCAACAGAGTGAGACTCCATCTCAGAAAAAAAAAAAAAGAGGGGATACGCATACTGAGATTCAGTAATGCAAAGGACTGAGAGATGACCCTTGGAGGCAAAGGGAACAGCAATTGCAAAGGCCTTGATGTGGGACCCAGCTTTGTGCCTGAAGAGCAGACAGCACAGTATGACAAAGCACAGGAAGATGGGGAGAGAGTAGACAATAAGATGGGGAGAGAGTAGACAACATGTGGAGAGAAAAGTTGGCGCCAGAACAGGAAGTGCCTTATAACAAGTTTGGATTTTCTCCTGAATGAAATGTTAAAACTGCTGATAGATTTTCAGTGGGTGAATGGTCTTCTATGCACTATTTATTTATTTGTTTTTTTTTGTTTGTTTGTTTGTTTTTTTGAGATGGAGTTTTGCTCTTGTTGCCCAGGCTGGAGTGCAATGGCGTGATCTCGGCTCACCACAACCTGTGCCTCCTGGGTTCAAGCGATTCTCCTGCCTCAGCCTCCAGAGTAGCTGGGATTACAGGCATGCGCCACTACACCCAGCTAATTTTTGTATTTTAAGGAGAGACAGGGTTTCGCCATGTTGGCCAGGCTGGTCTCGAACTCCTGACTTCAGGTGATCTGCCTGCCTCGGCCTCCCAAAGTGCTGGAATTACAGGCGTGAGCCACCGTGCTTGGCCTAAGTTTGTATTTTTAGTAGAGACGGGGTTTCTCCATGTTGGTCAGGCTGGTCTCGAACCCCTGACCTCAGGTGATCCGCCTGTCTCAGCCTCTCAAAGTGCTGGGATTACAGGCATGAGCCACAGTGCCTGGCCTCTTCTCTATGCATTATTTATAGGGCACTCTGGCTGCTGAAGATGACTTTCCTTAGGGGCAAGGAAGGCAAGAATGCAGCCGGGGAGATGAGTCAGGAGGAAGAGATATGGTAGCTTGGACTAATCTGGTAGCTGAAAAAAATTACAAAATGAATGACTGAATTTAGGGTGACCTAAATCACTCCCTGCCAAGGAGGGGGAGTTCCAGACAGAGTCCAAACGTAGAAGAGGAGGGTGCTAAGAAAAGGGTGCAGTTTCTACGTGAGATCCCCTACTGTCCAAAGGCACCAAGGAGGCTTCTGAGATAGAGTCAGAGGTCTAAGGTGCCTCTTATCTGAGCCACTGAATTGACCTCCCCGAGGGAGCAGCACTCCTGTCATGGCCCATGTGAATGGCAGCTCTGGTGCTGTGTCGTACACACCATGGCCACCTTGGCCATTCACCTGGGATCCTGTCCTACAGATTTGCCCCTTCAATACACCGGATTCCTTTTCTTGGCAGAGGAATCTGGAAATGTGGTATGTGTGCAAGAGTATGTGCAGGGATATCCTATTCATTCCATGTGATGTGTGGGAAAGAAAGGAGGGGGAAAAAAACAACATTCAAGGAAGCCCTGCTCTGTCCACGTGCTGGATTGATGGGCTAGGTGGACTGTAGTACCTGCCTGGTAGATATTATTACTCCCACTTTAGAGATGAGAAAACTGAGTGACGTTCAGGAAGTTAAGTGACTCGCCAGGCTGGCATGTCTCCCCAGCTGTCTATTTCTCCATACCCTGCTGTCCCCCAAAGCACCCCCACCACCTCATCCCCATTCTGAGCCCTGCTCACCTTTAGCAGGTTAAGGAGAATGAACTCATTCACAGCGAAGAGGGTCACTTGGAAGAAAGTCATGATGAGCAGCTGAATGGGGCTGACTTTACCCAGAACTGCCCCAAAGGCCACGCAGACAGAGGCCACGCAGAAGTCAGCGTTGATGAGGCTGTGGGGAGACAGGCCAGTGGAGAAGCTGGGGCAATAGCAAAAAGTGGCACTGGAGGCCCTGGACTTTGGTCATATATGGATTTGGGCTTGTGGCTTAACCTTTCTGAGCTTCAGTTTCATCATCTACACTAATGGGCACCTAACATTTAGAGCTACTCCAAGAATGAAAAGAAACCACACGAGACAGGACTAGTACAGCAGCACACACCAGATGCCCACCTCCCATGCAGCCCATCTCAGGCCCCCGCTGCTTGCAGACAGCTTGGGCTCAGGGCACCATGTGGTCTGGTTGCTATTGTTGAACATGCCCCATATTTGGGGTCCTTCCCTGCCCTGTAGCTTCTACCTGCTTTTCCAGAACCTCCTTTTACTGCCTCCTCTTTCAGGAAGTCTTCCTGTTTCCTCCAACCAGATGCAGTTTCTGCCTCCAGATCCTTATCTCTCACTCTGCACACACCTCTTCTGCTGGTAACCAGGGCCTTGTTATTGGGATCTTTCCTTTACCTTACCCATGAAGAGGATCTATGTCCAGGGAAGAGACAGGGGGGCCTTCCTGCAGGAAGGAGGGAGCTGGGGTGGTACTGGATGGAAGGAGGGAGCAGGAAGGCCAGCAGGGAGGATGGAGGCAAAGGGGCAGGTACATAGGTCCTGCTCAAGCCTGGACCCTGAACACCCTGCCAGCCCAGCAGAGGGCTGATGAAGAGGCAGACAGCTGAGTGGACATTGTGTAGACCCTGATTCCATCCATGTGCCCACTTTGCCCAAGCCTGGCCTCCTTGTCCCCTGCCAGCAGCAAAGCTGCCCTCTGGATTCCAAGGCAAGACCCTCAGTGTGGCTCTTAGGCCGGGAGAGTTGTTGATGGGGTGGGTGGGGGGTCTGTCACATCTAGAAAGGACTCCCTTCCCCTTCCATGCTCAGGGCTGTGTGTATGAGAGAGAGAATGGGGTGAGGAGTGAGAATGAAACTAATTGTAGGGCCAGTTCACTGGACTGTCCACTCCACTATTGCCTCATTCACCGCTGTGTCCCCAGGGCCTAGTGCAGGGCCTGGCTAAATGATCGATGGCAGTTCCTAAGTGCTAGGCTCTGGGGTATCTACTAAGTACTGTATATGCCCTCCTGTGCCATCCCTGAGCCATACAAGACAGGCACTGTCATTAGCCACATCATTTAGATGAGACATGGAGAATTAGAGAGGCTAAGTTTTTTGCCCAAGATCCCATAACTGCAGCTGGAAGATTCATCTTGATAGAAGTGACCATTAGAAAGGAGAGAGAGAGAGGCCGGCCATGGTGGCTCACACCTGTAATCCCAGCACTTTGGGAGGCCGAGGCAGGTGGATCACGAGGTCAGCAGTTCAAGACCATCCTGGCCAACATGGTGAAACCCCATCTCTACTAAAAATACAAAAATTAGCTGGGCTTGGTGGCAGACACCTGTAATCCTAGCTACTCAGGAGGCTGAGGCATGAGAATCACTTGTACCCAGGAAGTGGAGGTTGCAGCGAGCCAAGATCGCACCACTGCATTCCAGCCTGGGTGATAGAGCAAAACTCAGTCTCAAAAAAAAAAAAAAAAAAAATGGAGAGAGAGAACAGAAAGGCCCATCCCTTGGGCTATCAGCATTTGGGAGATGGAGATCCAGATGCCACATCTCAGGAGGGCCGAGGAAGCTTGGGCAGGGCCTGAAGAGGGGCACTTTCTACAGTGACAGGTGGGACTTAGAAGACTCTTCAGCAGGGACAGGCCAGAAGCCAGGGGGAGGGTCCACATCTCTGGATCCACAAGGTCAGGTCTGGGGACAATATGCTCATCCCAGCCCCGGGCACCAGAAATCAGCTCCAAGTCAGGTGCTGAAAAATCAATCTCCTGAGAGCCAATTTGTCCAAACTCAGTTTTTCAAGTGACCAACTTGCTGAACAACTGCTTCACCAAAAGCCTGTTAACTCACGGTTTGTAATAATTCCCTTTGAATTTTTTTGAGATTAAAAAAAATTCATTTAGCCATAGCTATTTTGCTGTGGTGGCCAATGATATATATTACAGGTGTTTTTATACTTTGGATCTATGGTTTTGGGAATGATAATTTCTTGTGCATTTTGAACTTCGGGGTGATATGCATGTCAAGGGTCTTATAAACAAAAAGACTTGTTTACTGGTTCCAACACATATCCAGTCAACTATCTTTCCTGTTTCTCTTAATTCATGGATTAATTATCTGGTTTGGATGAAGTAACTTTTTGCAAATATTTGACATGTGTCCTAGATTTCAGACACCTGGCTATCATACCTCGTTGGTATCCTAAGAGTAACAGCAGGGATTTGCCCTTTAAAGGTGGTTTATACCAGTTTGCCTCTAAGCCCTTTCTGTGGACAGTTTATGAGTGAGCTAATGAATGTTCATTTTCACACACCAATGATTACTTTTCTCAAATTAATTTTTTTTCTTGAAGGATGGGAGAATGGAGGAAAACATTTTTTTTTCTTTAGCTGACCTTTTCATATGTCTACAGAAATAAAAGTCTGTCTAAACTGGACTTAAAGAAGAACCTCCAATAAACTAAAACTTGGCTAAAGCAGGAAAAATCTCCCAAAGGTTCTTGAGTAGGACCAGAGCAACACAAATTGCTATAGGTTTCATAAGTTGCCATGGGATAGAGAGTTTGATAAATGAGTCATTCAGTGAGCTGACCACTTTCTCCATTGATTTTTTTGGCAAGTTGGCTTTGGGTGAATTTATTTTATAACCTGTTGGTGGTGTTGTGGGTTGGGGAGGTGTGTTGAGGCTTGGAGGAGGTCACTGCAGAACAGAGGGAGGGGCTGAGTCACCTGACAAGAAGGGGCTGGTGGTGCTCATCAGGCCAAGTCATCATAGAGAAGTCATGAGAAGGATGGAGCTGAGAAGTGACAGTAGGGTGCTCCACCCGTGGAAGCTGAGGAGGGGGCAGGGCTTCAGCCCTAACACTCCACACCCACACCTGTCTCACAGCTGTTTCCAGCACCTGTTCCCTGGGGTGGGTGGGGGCGGTGAAGCAAGGCAGGGAGAGAGGTACCTCCATTTGGCTGGAGTCCCCATTCGGTGTTTCCTTCACAAGGAGCCTCTGAGGCTGGTGCAGACATCCCAGTTCTCCCACCAGAGTCCCGTGGGCTGCGGTCTCTCAGGACACAGGGCTGGGCGATTTTGATGTGCCGGGCCCGGTCGGACCCTGCCCCCAGAGGAAAGTCTAGCCTCAAGTCCCTGCAGCCTTTGTCGTAGGGGAAGGGAGACCCTCCTATGTATGACACTTGGACGACTCCCACCCTGGAGAATCGCTGATCAGGAAGCGAAGTGAGAGAGAGAGAGAGACAGAGAGAGAGAGAGAGAGAGAGAGAGAGAGAGAGAGTGTGTGTGTGTGTGTGTGTGTGTGTGTGTGTGTGTGTGTGTGTATCTGTCTCGCAAGCCCAGTGTGGCCCAAAGGAGGAGTTGCCCTCCAGCCTCAAGCCCGGGTCCCGCCGATGGGCACGCCCTCCTCCCTCAGGCTCACCTGCCCAGCCCCATCCCTCCCAGTCCGCCACGCCCCCGGGGCCCGCCCTGCGCTCACTTCTCCACGCCCACGACGATGTAGCGGTCTTGTAAGAAGTGGAACCAGCCCTGCATGAGCAGCGCCCACTGGATGCCGAAGGCTGCCAACAGGAAGTTGAAGCCCACGGCGCTGAAGCCGTAGCGCTGCAGGAAAGTCATGAGGAAGCCGAAGCCCACGAAGACCATCACGTGCACGTCCTGGAAGCCTGCGGGGACAGTGCAGCCCGGGACTCGGTGGTCTGGCGAAGGTTCGTCCCAGCCCTGGGTCTGGGCCAGGAAGGCCGGGGTAGCCCCTCAGTCTTCCCCGCCACTGGCGCGTCTCCCTGCTCCACCATCCTAACCCGGTTCCCCCACCCCCACCCCCACATCTGAACCCTGGGGCTGGGCAAGGTAACGCTGCGGGCAGAGCCTCCAGTTCCTTCATAAGGGCCTCTCTAGAAAGGGAGGCGCTGGGGGGGACCCGAGGTGGGCCCCCACCTTAGCCTATTTAAACCACTGGGCTGTAGTGCCAAGAGATTCCCAAACACCCTCCTTGAGAGATGGCAGCTCCTTGGTTCTACCCTCCTCCCTGGGTGGCTCTGCTGGCCCAGGCTGGAGGTGGCAGCTGGGCATCAGAATTTGGGGCCAGGTGTGGGTTACACACAGGGTCTAAGGTCGATAGCCCAGACCGTCTGAGGCTATGATGCCCTGCCCTCTCCACCGCAATCCTGTTCCTTTGCTGTGGAGAATCAATGCTCATCCGGCCAAGGAGTAGCCTGGACAGGCCAAGCACATCAGTTATAGCTGATCACATCCCCATATCCCACCACTGACTCCAGCAGATACACATCCCCGCATCCCTGAGACTTGAATTTGGACCCCGGTTACTCCATCTTCTGGGTGGATGACTCTGGGAAAGTTAAGTATTTTAACTCGGGGCTTGGCACCTGCTTCTGCAATGCTTACATCACAGATGTTGTGAGGATTAAACACACATGTGTATGTAAAGAAGCATCTAGCACAGTGTCTACCCCATAGTAGGTGATCTAAATGGGCAGATGTCATTGTTTATGTTCACTCAGGCATGGCCTAATTCTGAGTTCTGACCCAAGTCTTCTCCAACTCACAATGTGGCCTTGGCAAGCCACTTCCCTTCTCAGAGCCTCAGTTTTCTCAACGACCAAACTAAAGGGATGTATTAGGATGATCTTAACTGCCCTCTCAGCGCTTATGTTGCATGGTTCTCAACTCCAAGAAAATAACAGAAGACAAAGAGCTTTGAGAAGCAAAGAGAATTGCAAAAGCATAACACACAAATAGGAACCTCAGATGTCACAGGACACAGGGGCCAGATGGAAGGGCTCCCACTGGCCAAATCTGGGACAATCTGAGCACCAAAGCAATTATGTGTTATAATGAATTAAAACCATTAAAAAAGGAACTCATGAGATCATACTGATAATAAGTTGGTAAACAAATAAATGAGGTAGCAGATAGGGCTCTTGCCTACAGTAGAATGCTGAGGCTACACTTAAATATGGAAAAAGTGCTAGAGTTGGAAAATCATCATTTTCATGGTAAAGATTCAATCAGTGGATGCTAAATGCAGGGGGAAATTTTGAGTATGCACAGGACGTTTGCATTGTCTTAAAGGGTTTCCTTATAGACTGCTTATTAGTTGCAGGGGAAGAAAATAACAGTAATTATACTGGGCAACATATTGACTGGGTGATCAAAATTAATATCACTCATGCCTCCACATGTGATACCCTGAAAAGGACCTATCCCCTAGGTGGGATTCTAGCTGAGACTGCAGAACCCAATCTAATCATGAGAAAACATCAGACAAACACAAAATGAGGAACATGTTACTAACAAGGGGAAAGGCTGTATTCTTGAAAAGTATCAGTCATAAAAGACCTTTGAAATGTTCCAGATTAAAAGACATGACAAAAGGTATTAAAGTTAATACCTTACTCTAGACTGGATTCTGTATTTGGTGGGGCTGGGAGAATGGGGGGGGGGGAGTGCTATAATGGTCATTATTGGGTCCATTGAGAAAATCAGATATAAACAGATTAAGATATTATATTAATAAGATATAAACAGGTGAAGATATTGCATTAATGGAAATTTATGAAGCTGATTACTATGGTTATGGAAGAGAATATCCCCCTTCTTAGGAAATATACTGGAATAGTTAAGGGTAGAGGGCCATGACGTATGTGACTGACCCTCACATGGTTCAGAAAAACAAAGCACACATGTGTATGTGTGCATGTGTGTATGTGCGTGTGCATCCGTGTAGAGAAAGAGTGAGCAAATAGCTGAGTCTGAGTTAGAGTATATGGTGTTCTTTTATTGTTGTTGTTGTTGAGACATAGTCTCATTTTGTCGCCCTGGCTGGAGTGCAGTGGCACAATCTCAGCTCACTGAAACCTCTGCCTCCTGGGGTTCAAACGATCCTCCCACCTCAGCCTCTGCAGCAGCTGGGATTACAGGCATGTGCCACCACACCCAGCTAATTTTTTTTTTTTTAACTTTTAGTAGAGACAGGATTTTGCTATGTGGGCCAGGCTGGTCTCAAACTCCAGGCCTCAAGTGATCTGTCCATCTTGGGCTCCCAGAGTGCTGCGATTACAGATGTGAACCACTGCACCTGGCCAGAGTGTAGCTTTCTTTGTGCTATTTCTGTTTGAGCAACTTTTTGTAAATTTGGGATTATTTCCAAGTAAACAGTCAAAAGGAAAAGAGACTCCAGGGCCCTGACAGGCCTGTCCCAGCCCCGCCCACCTGTCTCCCGGGGGATTCCTACTCCCTCACCCACCTGCCTCCCAGGGGATCTCTACCTCCCCACATCTTCACCTCCCCCGGTGCTCCAGCTGCTCTGGCCTCCCTTCTGCTTCTCAGTCCCACACTCTAGGGTCTTTGCCTATGGTGTCCCTGCCACTTGGGATGCTGTTCCTGCAGAATGGCCAGCAGATCTCAGCAAATTGTCACCTCATTAGAGAGGCCTTCCTGACCACCCATTTAAGATAGGTTCTCCCCCTATGGCACCCTGTTTTCTTTCCTAGGTTCTCTCCCTTATGGCACCCTTTTTTCTTTCACGGTTCTTGTTATAATTTGAAGTTACACATTTGTTTGTCTATCCCACTACGCTATAAAACTCCAAGAAGGCAGAGCCATGCCTGTTTTGTTCACTGTGGTATTCCCAGCACCTAGGAGAGTGCCAAGGTCGACTCTCAGTTAATAGCTATGGATGAATGAATGATTGTTATTGTCTCAGAAGCACCCAGGTGTGCCAGCTGAGCAGTGGTCCAGGAGCTCAGGTGGGATTTCACAGGAAGGGCTGCAGCCCCCCTCCAGTCCGCCTCCCACCAGGAGGGCTGACAGGTTCTGGTGCCCACTGCAGCCTGGCCAAGGCTGCAGGAGCAATGCTTACGGCACAGCTGCCTGCACCTTGCCTGCCCTCATCTGTTTCCCTTCCAGGCTTCCCTGAGGCCCAGGCCAAGGCCACAGACCCCTCAGCTAGCAGCTACCTGGAGGAGGCTTAGGGGGCTTGGCACACTGAAGGGCAGGGGTACAAGCCAGTGTGGGAGAGCTGTGGGTCCTGCCCCAGGGTGGTGCTCTGAACTTCCCTCTGAATTTAGCATCGGTGCTGAGTTTACATGAACAAATACACCTCAGCTTAGGTTTCTCAATGTGCGCAAATGATTTCATGTATGATCGTGTTGCAGGGTTTATCACATTTCTAACTGTTGTGGAAGAAATTGAGCTGATGTATGTGAAGCACCATAAATGGTATTATGGTTATTCTGGGAAGAACTGATGGGTGACAGACTGGAAGAGAGGTGTGAAAGAGAGGGAGGTGACAAATTCAGATGACAATTCCAGAAGCGGGGAGGGGAGTTGGCAGGATGACAGGATGGCAGCGCTGTTGACAAACACAAGGCAGTGGGAAGAGGTTGCTGCGTGGGAGGGAGGTGCTGGGTCTGGCCTGGCCGTGGTGAATTTCAGATGACCAGGGGGGTGAGGGCTGGGCTGGTGGGCGGGGGTTAGGGGGAGAAATGGAGCCTGGCTGTGGGGGCTTGGAGCTGAGGTCTGAGATTGGCCAGGCCTGCAAATAGAGCTGTGAGTTGCAATGTGGGAATGAAGGGAGAGAGAGACACAAGCTGAGAACTGGCTGTGCCTTGAAGCTAGCAGAGAAGACGAAGGACACGCTGGCAGGGAGGTGGGAGGAGCCCCTGGGGGAAGACAGCATCACCGCAAGTGGGGTCCTTTCGATGAGAAGGGTGTCAGTTGCCTGGTGGTATAGAGGCGACATGCTGGCAGGGGCGAAGCTGAAGAGGACCAAGGGAGCCGCTGCTGCAGGGGAAGGTGTGTGTGGTTTCAGGGCTGCCTTGGCCTCTGTGTGGCCTGAGAGCAGGAGCAGGGAGCCCTCGCTTTCCTGGTCCATCCTCCCTGCCTGTCCCCTCTCACCCTGCTCTTCTCCCTGCTCTGGTGGGTGCCCTGTCTCTCCTTTTCACCCTGTCTGGGGGTGTCTCTTTTCTTCTCTTCCCTCCGTCAGGAACACAGACACCCACTTCCTTCTCCTTGGGCACCTCCCCAATTTGTCCTCTTGCTTCCCATCTCTTTATCTGTCAAACTGGTCTTAATTCAGCATCAAAATGTATCCATTTATTAATTTCTGTTTCATAAAGTATGATGCTACCTAAAATGATTTTTAGGCTGGGCGTGGTGGCTCATGACTGTAATCCCAGCACTTTGGGAGGCCAAGGCAGGTGGTTCACTTGAGGTCAGGAGTTCGAGACCAGCCTGGCCAACATGGGGAAACCCCATCTCTGCTAAAAATACAAAAATTAGCCGGGCAAGGTAGTGCACGCCTTTAATCCCAGCTACTCGAGAGGCAGAGGCAGGAGAATCACTTGAACCCGGGAGGCAGAGGTTGCAGTGAGCTGAGATTGTGCCATCGCACTCCAGCCTGGGCAACAGAGTGAGACTTCATCTCAAAAAAATAAAAATTAAAAAAAAAAAGATTTTTAATAGTGACGATTTGAGGGTCCAAACCGTATGGACCTTTAGCAAAGGACAGAACTTCTCAGATCTACAGGTTCTTTGTCAGTCAAATGGGAGATAGTAACAGCCCCTGGACAGTGCTCACTGCAGAGCTTTGTAGCACACATGTAATGGTATAACGCAATCAAAGCCCTATGCGAAGGCAGCTGGCTCTTTAGAAATTGCCCCATCATATAAGTTATTATTTCTCTTTTCCTCTTTCAAGACTGACAAGGTTGCATTGGGTTGGCAACTTGCTGAGGGTCAACAAAGTTGACCCTCAGTCTCCCTCCCCAGCTTTGGTGACTCCAGCTGTCCTGCCCAGAACTGGCTTCCTCAACCTGGAGGTCCCTGATGGGGCAGGGCTGGCACTCTGGCCTCCAGGGGGCACCAGTACCCAGCTGTTCTCCCTCTCCCCTTACTCCCAGCCCCCAGCCCCGTTCTAGCTCCTGCTGCTTCCCTCTGTAGACGAGTCCCCCACCAGGCTGGCTGAGTCTAGGGGAACAAAGTGTCCCACACTAATGGGCCTCTGCAGCCCTCCCCTCTGCTGCATCAGCACACGAAGGATGGTGCCCTCCAGGGGCTGGGTGCTGCCCCCCTCCCCCTCCCATTCGCAGCCCAGCCTAACTGTTTTCTTTGAGACCTACTGGCCAGTTCCCCAATTCCCCCAAGACTCCGTGCCCACCTCTTCCACATCAACACTGCAAAATCTCCTGGGGAGATGGTCAGGGGGCAGCAATGCCACAGAAGACCCTGGAAAGCAGGTAGGCCCTGGGGTGGGGGCTTGGCTCTGACCCTGCCTGTGCTACTGGCTGGCTGAGAGTGTCCAGCTCCTCTCGAACCTCCATTACCTCCATCATAAAATGGAAATTATAAATGCCCCACCTGACAGGGCAGGCAAAAAGCATTTTGTGATTGGGAAGTGCACAAAAGAATTTAAATGCTATAATAGTTCCAACTAATATAGGGAGAGGTGACTCCACCATGTTTCTAACAAGGTGCTGATACTTACACACCTTCATGGAAGGAGCACTTACTCCCTTCTGGGGAAGCCCAGTGGCAGCATTTACTGTCCTCTCCCTTTATGCCAGGAGATGAGTGCCCTACCAGTCACCTGTCATCTTGAGTCTTCTTAGAGATCCTGTACTTTAAATAACATTTCTACCTTAAGATGGGCATGCTGAGGCTCACTGTGGCGAGGTGGTTGGCTCCTCCATGCAGTGATGCACCCGAATGGGATCTGTTTAATTCTAAAGTTCCACTGCCTTCTGCCTGTGGGTAAGCTCGTCCTTTATCAAATGGAGCCTGCTTCGGCCTCATGACACAGTCCTCCCGGTGTTTGAAACCAGAGCTTCCTCCGCCCTGGGTCATCTCCCGAAATGTGTCCCACTCCTCCCTTGGTCTTCCAGGGAGCTTCTGGAGTCCAAGCCCTGGTGGCTCCTCCTTGGGCCAGCCTCCCTGAAGCCACTGCCCTCAGCGGTTCACCCAGACCCTGGAGCACCAGCCCACAGGGAAGCTGCGTGCTTAGCAACCACAGCCACTGGCTGCATCACGGGCCTCCGAGGGCACTGCCAACGTGAGTCCCCAGCTGGCTCCATGCCTGCTACCTGCTGCAGGGCCCATGCCTGGGGAGCTACCCTCGGGCCAAGCCAACTGGAGCTGGACTCCTCCGGAAACTGGAGATGCCCAGCAGGCTTCACTCATCCCCTGAGTAGAAACGAGGCCTGCACAGCTGCTGATGGCCTGGATCCAGGAACAGGGAAGGCACCTTGGAGCCTGCCCTCACCCCAATCCCCTAGGAATCACCTCGCTGCCCAGGAACCCAGGCTTGGGGACTCACATGGGCCAGGAAGCCTTGTGCCCTCTAACTCCTAACCACAGCCACGGTGAGTGGAGCGGGGGAAAGGGGGAAGGTTGAGACTAGGGAGGAGAGTGGGCCAGGAGTGTGGGCTCAGACCCCAGGGCTGCTCCTCTCGCTCCCTGGTTTCCCAGCTGAGTGACCTTTGCAAGACACTTCTCCGCTCTGGCCTTAGTTTCCTCATCTGTAGAATGGGGGTCATCACACCACCTCCCTCACAGGTGGTGGTGATGATTAAAGGAGAGAATGCACGTGCGGTTGGAGGGGTGGCCACTACTTCTTGCCAAGATTCTTCCCCTATACCCCTCTCCTCTGTTGCTTCCTGCTCCATTGGCCAAGAGCTCTCCAGGAGAACTAGCAGGGGAAACTCAAGGCCCTCCTTGATGCTGGGGCTCTCCCCCTGTTAGCATCCTTACCCCATCCCTTTCACAAACCCTACTCTTGGGCCACACAGAACCACTGCCCCTCCTCGCAACACCACCCCCTTTTAGTGGCCCCCTTGGCTGCTCGGCTTCTCCCCTCCTCACCATCCACCACTTCCCAGGAAGCCATCACAGATCACTTCTGCTCAGAGCACTTGGTCCCACTGAGGCCCTGGGTGCCACGGTGCCCCTCTCTGCTTCCAAAAAGTCTGGGGACAGAGACCCAGGATATTCAACTTATTTATCCAGAGTGACCATAGCCCTGATTTGCCAGGACAGTCATGGCTTATCCATGGGTCCCAGCAAATTACTACCAGCACCACCTTCACTCTCAGAGGTGTCCTCTGATGATGATAAATTGTATGATCACACTACAGATAAGCACTTGTTGCATGAACACATTAACCTGGGGTGTGAAAGGTGGGTGGGCAAGTGTGGTGCGAGGAGGATAAGAGCTGGGGAGATGTAAGGACTGTACCTCCCCACTGGTGAGGTTCTGCAGCTCCTATTATAGGGTCTCTCTCTCTCTCTCTCATTTCTTTCTTTTTTTTTTTTTTGAAAGGGAGAGAGATAGAGATTCACTCTGTCACCTAGGCTGGAGTGCAGTGGTGCTGTCATAGCTCACTGTAGCTTCAAACTCCCAAGCTCAAGCGATCCTCCCACCTCAGCCTCCCAAAGTATGCTGGGATTACAGGTGTGAGCCATCGCACCCAGCCTATTTAAGGTCTTGAGGTCCTCCACTCCCCAGACACATTGAGGACCTGTGAACGCCCATGGGAGTTCTTGCCCCTTATGCTCTGGGGTCAAGTGGGAAGCAAGTGCGGGAGGGAGGGAGAAGAACAGGTAAAGGAGGGTCTCAAGCTTGCCTGCCTCACTGTTTGCTGGAAAGTCCCCCCCTTGAGGAGAGGAAAGGTGGACAATGTGAACAGTGGATTTGGAGCCTGAATCCCAAGGCTGCAGCTGTCTAAGATATCTTTTAAAAAACAGCCCTAAATGGAGCCCAGGAGAAACTGTGGTCTCCCCAGCAGGGGGCGCACCCCTTATCTGTTACTTCCCTTCTAGGCACCAAGTAACTATTAAATGCAGCCCATGATAGCCCTAACTTTTTGGCAGCCACTTAATATGGCTGGCTCCCACCAAGCCTGCAGCCCCCCAAACGCAGTCTTTTTTCATGCAGGCTGCCATTCTGAAAGTGTGCAGTTGTTTTCTTGGAGATAGAGAATCCCCTGTTGCCGAGAATGTCTAAGGTGTGGAGGGAATACCAGTTGATATAGGCGGCTGCTGGAGAGGGGCTTTAGGGTCCCTTTCAAAGCTAACAGTCAATGACTACATGAACACCACCGGCTAGAATAATTTTCATTGGCTGATGGCGGATGGAGTGGAAAATCAGAAAGTACAAGGGCATTCTGATTTTGGGAAGAGCCCCAGGCTGGGAGTCCAGAGGTCGGGCAGCTCAGAGTGACCTTGGGCTAGCTCTCCCTGCTCCTGAGTCCTAGGGCACCTGTGTTTGGTGCTCTTGTAGCAATTGCTCCATTATGAAGAAAGGATCCCACCCCAACTCTGCCAGAGCTTTACATGCACTTCCTCGCCACAGCCTCACCCCAACCCCTGTGAAGGAGGTCCTACCATTATCTTCATTCTGTAGATGAGGAAATTGAGGTTTAGGAAGGTTGGCATTTGCCTGAGGCCAGCCACCTGGTTTGTGGCAAGAGCCACGAGAGCATGAGAGAAAGGGAGGTGTGTGATTGTAGGGTCATGCTCTTAACCACAGCACCGCTGACACCAGAAGATTCAGGGGCGCTTGTTTTCCCTCTCCAAGCTAAAAGGGGGTGGGTGTCCTGGCCTCCTGGCCCACCAGTGGTCCCACAACACCTCTGCCCACAGCAGGGCTGGCGCTTATTTGGAGTAAGCGCTCCTCTGGACAAGGGAGCCAGGTCATCCACTGGTTGGTAATGGGGCGAGAGGACTCGGATCTTCTTAGTATACCAAGCAGGGCTCTCTGACAGGGATGTTGGGGGGCTCTGACGGCTGGGAGGGCGGTCAAATAAAAACCTCATCCCGGTGTTTTCCCTACTAGTTTTTCACGGGGAAAAGGAGTTTGTGCACATCTGACAATTTCCCACGCATGCCCTGCAGAGGCCGGCGAGATGCGGAGTCCGCGGCTGCAGGGTAGATCCCCTCCTCTGCCCAGCTCTGGGCCGAGCCCTTGGCCAGGTGGGGACCGGCGCGGATATGCCTCCGCTGGGCCTGCAGGCGGCGAGACTTACTTGGGTAGCGATAGTAGAATTCGTTCTCCATGTCGCTCAAGTTCTTGTGCGTCCTCTCTGACCACCAGTGGGCGTCGGCCTCGAAGTCGTAGCGCACGAACACCCCGAAGAGAATCACCATAATCACCTGCAGGAGCAGGCAGGTGAGCGGCAGCCGCCAGCGGAGGTTGGTGTTCCAGGCCATGCTGCAGGGGTGCCTGGCCGGGCTGGCAGCGGGCGGTTCGGACGCTCGGAGGCCGGCGGGGCTTTTGAGACCCGGGCAGGGGGGCGGGGCGGCCACGTGGGGCACGGAGCAGCTGACTCGGGCACCGCCCGCGCGCTCGCCCAACTGGCAGGGGCCCAACCCAAGCCGAGGGCCCCAAAAGATTCCCCGCGTCGGGCTGGGGGACAGCGGCAGGAGCAGAGGCTAAGGCAGTGGGCAGGAGGATCAGGGTGCCCCAAATTCTGTGTGTCCCGTTGATACTGGGGCCTTTCTCCTTTTGTTCTGCTGAACAGAGAAACACGGGGATCATTGGCCTCCCAGTGAGATCAGAAGGAATTCCCAGACCTAAGTCATCATCATCAACATCATCATCATCTGCCATCATCATCTGCATCATCATCTGTCCTTTCTTTTTCTGATTATGAAATTCATACAGGGCACATGAGAAACAAGGAATGTTTGGGACACTGTCACACAACAGAGCGGCCTGGGGAGACATCTGTGATGTGCTACCCCAGACTTGACCCTGGAACAGAAAAAGGATGTTAATTGGAAAACTGGTAAAATCCAAATAAAGCCTGAAAATTAGTTAATAGTGACGTTCCCATGTTGTTTTCTTAGTTGGGACAAATGTCATGGTTATGTAAAATGTTAACAGTAGGATAAACTGAGTAAGGGCTATATGGGGACTGTCTTTGCCACTTTTCTGTAAATCTAAAATTATTCCAAAATACAAGGGTTTTAAGAAAAAAAACACGTATAAAGGATTGTAAGAACAATTTAAGAGTTTTTCACAAGTTCATTGGTCCATAGTCAGGAACTGTCTTCTGGTTAAGATCTGTGATCTTGACATGAGTTAACCATAATATTTAGGTCTGGGAATTCCTTCTGATCTCACTGGGAGGCCAATGATCCCCATGTTTCTCTGTTCAGCAGTATAACAGTCTGTATATTGTCTGCTTAGTCTGTATATTGTCAAAATAAATTTGATTTTCTAATTTTTCTTTAAAAATACAGAGATAATTGTAGAGATTTGGAAAATACAGAAAAACACAAAGAAGAAAGTAAAAATCACTCATAATCCCACCACCCAGAGGCAATACTAATATTTTGGTGTATGTACTCTAGTCTTTTCCTAGCTCATTGAAGAGGGGCTGGAGGGGAGCAGGGGGAGTGTTTCAAACGATCATACTAATTTATAGCGTTTTTAACTCCTTTCATATTTTGTAAACACCTTCCCATATTATACTTCTACAACTTTTTTTCTTTTTCTTTTTCTTTTTTATTTATTTATTTTTTTGAGATAGGGTCTTGCTCTGATGCCCAGGCTGGAGGGCAGTGGCTTGATCATGGTTCACTGCTGCCTTGACCTCCTGGGCTCAAGTGATCCTCCCACTTCAGCCTCCCAATTAGCTGAAACCACAGGCATGTGCCACCAGGCCCACCTAATTTTTTTTTTTTTTTTTTTTTTTTTTTTGAGACAGGTCTCGCTCTGTTGCCCAGGCTGGAGTGCAGTGGGGTGATCTCGGCTCACTGCAAGCTCCGCCTCCCGGGTTCACACCATTCTCTGGCCTCAGCCTCCTGAGTAGCTGGGACTATAGGCGTGCGCCACCGCGCCCGGCTAAGTTTTTTTTTTTTGTAGAGATGGGGTCTCCCTATCTTGCCCAGGGTGGTCTTGAACTTATGGGCTCAAGTGATCCTCCCACCTCAGCCTCTCAAAATGCTGGGATTACAGGCATGAGCCACCACACCCAGCCTGCCACAACATAACTTTTATAGCAGGATATACTGTGCTTTATCTAGACAATCCCTAGTGTTAGGTGACGAGCGATGAGGTCATTTTTTATTTGTTTAGTATTACAAATCATGCTGTCATGAACATCCAGATATGTAAGTCTTTGCACAACTTTCTGTGAATTCCTGGAGGCAGAGCTGTTTCAATACATATCTCTAGATGTTCCCCTAGAAAGATTTTACGAGACAAAGCATGCACCCTGTGAGCCAGGGGTCAGTGACTTTTCCCATGCACTCTTGCCAATGCTGGCTTTAAAAAATCTTGCCAGTTGAAATCCCAGATTTGTAAAAGCCACTAATGCCATGTATAACATCTGAGGCTAAGCACCTAATCAGGGTGCTTGGAACTTGAGTGTGGCCACACTGTGCCAGCTTGGGGTACCAGGGTATCCCCACTCCCTTGGCAAAGAAGCAGCCAGACACTGCATGAGCAATACCAGCAATAGGGACCATTTATTAAGTTCCTGCGGTTGCCGGATCCTTTTGATATATATTTAAATTCTCAACTAAACACTTGTGAAGTGGACATTGTAGGTACATGCTACAGTTGAAAAACCTGAGTTCTCAGATTGGCTAAGGAACTTGCTGGAGATTCAAACCCTGGGCTGTCTGATTTCAAAGGCTGTAGTCTTTCTACTGTGCCATTCTGCTTGTCCCCTCTGGAAGGAGCGAGAAGGAGGGTTTGACTTCGTGCATGTGCATTCACTGCTGGGGAGAAAAACTTCAAGTACACGGCAATGGGAGTAAGTGGAGGGAGGGAGACAAGGGCTGGGGTGGGGGAGGCTGCTGCAAGTAGATTCATGAGCATCTAGGTTCCCCACAGGAGCAGTGGCGTTATGGGATAGAGGGCAGTGGGTGGCGTGGTCCCTGAAGCCTGGGCCGGGAGGGGGCAGGTGGAAGACCTGCTCACCAGGCTGGCCTGCTTAAAGGATAGGGAAGCCGGGGTGTCTTGCTCATTGTGAGAACTGCCCTCCCATCCAGACCTCCTCCAGAGTCCCCTAGCACACCTGTGGTGCTGGAACCCGGGACCCCCTTGGGGGACTCCTTGATGGGGCAGGGTACAGGGTCCAGGAGAGAGACGCTGACTCACAAGCCCTGCAGAGGCTCAGTGGGACAGACCTGGAGCCACAGCCAAGCACGGTCACTACCCACAGCCAGCACAAGAAGGCCGTTTGCCCTTGACCTTCATATTTGGTAGACTCAAGGTACAAACGATGGGCTTCAGACTACAAAGGGGATACAAGGTTCAAGGGAGACACTGTTATCAGATGGTTTTTTTCTTGGGTTACATTTCTGGGCCACTCAACTAATATAGGTCATCATGAATTAACATTCAAAAACAAGTCCTGGCCGGGCACAGTGGCTCACACCTGTAATCCCAGCACTTTGGGAGGCTGAGGCGGGTGGATCATTTGAGGCCAGGAGTTTGAGACCAGCCTGGCCAACATGGTGAAACCCCGTCTCTACTAAAAATACAAAAATTAGCTGGCTGTGATGGCAGGCGCCTGTAATCCAGCTACTCGGGAGGCTGAGACAGAGGAATCTCTTGAACCCGGGAGGTGGAGGTTGCAGTGAACTCCAGCCTGGGCGACAGAGCAAGACTTCATCTCGAAAAAAGAAAAAATTATTTGTTTATAGTATATCAACATACCATAGTATTTAACCCTTTATGGTATTTCTCCCTTTGTTTTATTCCAGGAAGCTGCTAGGTCTCTCTTGACCTCAGTGAGCCCCAGCAATCACCAACCAAGGAAGGGGCCCAGGGAGCCTCTTCCAGTCCAGAAGTCTTCTCTTCATCCCTTTCTCTGCGGCAAGACCAACTGTCAGAGCCTCCACAGCCTGAGGGCCTGGGTGGCGTGACCCCTGCAGAATAGGGGGAGCAGAGGGAAAGCTAGGCATTGACGTCCCTGGTTTTACTTCTGCTTCTTGAGTAGTTGTGTGACCCTGGGCAAATTGTCAACCTCTCTGAGTCTCTACTCTCTCATCTGTAAAATCGAGACAGTTATCTCCCCTCGGGTCTTGGTGAGACTTATTCTGAGTAGCTGGGACTACAGGTCTGTGCCACCATGCCCATCTAATGTTTTCTGTATTTTTGTAGGGGTGGAGTTTTGCTATATTGCCCAGGCTGATCTTGAATTTCCAGGCTTAAGTGATCCTCCCACTTCGGCCTCCCCGAGTGCTGGGATTACGGGCGTGAGCCACTGCACCCAGCTGGTGAGACTTATTCTGAGATACAGCATGGCGAAGAGCCCAGCACAGTGCCTGGCATGTGACATGCCCTCAGTTCCTGTTCATTTTTTTCCTAGTGCCTGGAACAATTGAAAAGCATGTGCCACTTGAGATTCTGCAGAGAAAGATAGGTAATCAAGGTTGAAGAACTGAGGCAGGTAAGTGTAGGATGGTGGAAGGAGTCCTGGCCTGGTGTGGGTCCAGTTTCTGTCTCCCTCTGCTGGTGATCTCAGGCAAATTCTTAGCCTCTCTGGGCTTGCGTCCTCACCTGTGAAATGAAGATTGTGAATGGGTCATTTCCAAAGCTGCTTCTAGTTGCAAGGTGCCCCCCAGCCCAGAGGAGCTAGCCCCTCTGTTGCTTTTCCCCACTCACATGCAGCCTTCTCTCTGGTTGGACAAGCCGAGTGCATTGCTTCACAGCCTCTTGCAGCCCTGCCAGGACCTAAGTCACCCAGGAAAGGCCTCACCCTTGATCCTGGAGTGACCTCAACCACATTCACTGTGTCTCATCCTGTGTGGGGTTTGCAGGCTGCCCTCTTCGGCTTCCTCTGCCTCTCCTCCCAGCATGCCCTCTTCTTCCTTTCCACATTCTTCTCTCTTTCCCACACCCAGCATCCTCCCAGCCACATCGATCATGGCACCTGTCCCCTGTGTGAGGTCCTACCACCCGGAGACAGTGAAGCCCTCTCCTAGTGCCCCCTGCATAATATTTGAGAAGATGAGACCACAGACAGCAGTAGCAACTGCTAGCACCACCTCTGCAGGCTCTACAGGCCCAGTTACTGGAGGTCCAAGTTGAAAGTTGGGCTAGGACAGAGAGCTTTTGGGATGAGGGGGGTGGGGAGCACACCACCCTCTGAAGTCATTCATTCCCTAGAGGGTCCATCAACTCTGTTAAGACAGGGGTAACATCTTATTTATAAATCTGTCCCCTGCTCACAGTATAGTGTGGGGGCACAGAAGAGGCACTTGGGGAGTGTTCTTGAAGGATTGAGGAAGGAATGAATAATATTCTTTGAGCACCTAGTATGTGCCAGGCACTGTTTCAGGTGCTGAGACATGGCAGTGAACAAATGAAGCAACAATCCTAGTCCTGGTGGAGCTGGCATTCTACGAATGGTGGGGAAGGTTGGCAAACAACCTGGTAGTATGTACCTTACTTATCTACTGTGTTTAACAATAGATAGGTAAAGCAGACAGCATGTGGGAGGGTGATACATGCTGTGTGGAGCAGAGGGGAGGAAAGCGGGAGAGAGGAGGCCAGGAGTACAATGTACACTGAGCGGCCAAGGAAGGCCCCATGGAGGGAGGCGGGGAAATCAGTTCATCTGCCGGTGCCCTAGTCCCAGCCCACAGCATTTTGATGTGACTGCCCTTTTTCTTTTTCTTTTCTTTTCTCTTCTCTTCTCTTTTTTCTTTGCTTTGCTTTGCTTTTCTGAGACTCAGTCTCACTCTGTTGCCCAGGCTGGAATGCAATGGCATGATCTCGGCTCACTGCAACCTCCACCTCCCGGGTTCAAGCAATTCTTCCACCTCAGCCTCCCGACTAACTAGGACTACAGGCACCCACCACCATGCCCAGCTAATTTTTGTATTTGTGTAGAGACGGGGTTTCACCATGTTGGCCAGGCTGGTCTTGAACTCCTGACCTCAGGTGATCCGCCAGCCTCGGCCTCCCAAAGTGCTGGGATTATAGGCGTGAGCCACCACGCCCAGCTGTGACTGCCCTTTTCTGAACACCCCAGGCAGCTGTCCCCTTCCTCAACTGCCCTTGGTATTAGTAAAGGCCAAGCTCTCAGTTTCTCCCCTGGGTGGCCGGCAGTTTTATTTCTGGTGCTCCTGGAAGAAAAAATGGCCACTATTCCAGAAGCCTAGGAAAAATGTCCCCTCCCAGAACATTCTGTCTCCAGCTCACATAAGGCATGGCCAGCAGCCTGCCCGCCCACCTCAGGCAAGGCCCAGGTGCTCTGCGGAGTGTCTGTCCTTGTGGGTAAAGGGGGCTGGGGCTAGAGGGGATTGATGAGACAGCGGGAGGGTGGAGGGCTCTCTCCCCACTCTCTCCTATCCCAACCTCCACGTCAAGCATTCATACACTGTTTCTTCCTAGCGCTTCTCGTATCTGTCTATGGTGTCTTCCTACATTAGAACATCAGCACCCAAGGGCAAGGACACCTAGAAGAGATCCTAGCTTGCGGTTGTTGCCCATTAATTATTTTTCCAATGGAATGAATGGATGAATGGATTCTTTCAATTTATTCAGTTATTTAAAACATGTACGGAGCACCCACTGCACACAGCTCCATATCAGGCCCAAATAACTATATAAGCATGCCCCCCAGATTTGCACCATAGAAAAGGAGATACAAGTTTGCCCCAGTGGTTAAAGCAGAATGAGCACTTTCCTGTATACCTGAGGAGAGCTTGATGGGCCCTGGGGTGATCAGGGTGGACTTCATGGAAGAGGTGGACTTTGATCTAGGATTTGCAGGGCAGATAATAGGTAGACCTTCACCCTCTGCCCTTTGGCTTTTCTTGTCTCATGTATGCCCTACCACATGATTCCAGGCTACCTCCCTCTCCCCACCCCAGCTTGGTACTTCAGATGACAACCCAGAGGTGGAATTCTTGCCTTGTCCTCTGAGATGGGGGTTTAAGAAACCTGCTGCTCAAGTCTAACAGGCCAGGCAGGGGTTTTCCTAAGGAACCGGCCTCTTCCTCCTAAAATGTGTGTGCCTTGACAAGCAGGGATGACTGACGGCTGGGACGCGATGGTTCTTTCCCCAGCCAGGGAGAGGCAGGGTGTGGTAGCCACGTTGGCAGGCAGGGAGATGGATTTCGAGGCAAAGGTGGTTCAGGCTGTCTTTCTTCCAGGTGAGGTGGAGTCTCCCCTGCTCTGGTGTGGCTGTGTTGAGGGCGTGGTGCTGGGACTGTCCCTGCTATCACCCTTCTCTCTACTCATCCCTCTTGATAGATGACTGTTTGCATCCTTGACATCTCTGGCCTTGGTCCCACACGCAGCCTGAGGCTGTGGCGAGACACTAGGCCAGGACTCAGAAGTTCTTGGGGCTGGTCCCAGTTTCACAAATTTTGTCAGATCACACCCCCTGTCTGGGCCTGATTTCCTTGATTTGCAAATGGGTGCCTCCGTGTCTGTGCTGCTCAGCTCTCATTTTGCTGTGATGCTCAAAGACCATGCAGCTTGGTGCTTAGCACAGTGACCCAGAGGCTCTAGGAGGCCCGGGCTCCAGTCCCAGCCCTGCCACTTCCTAGCTGGGGGACCTTGGGCAAGCTGCTTAACTTCTCTGGGCCTTGGTTTCCCCATCCATACAGAGGGTGACAGGAGTACCTGGGATGACCTTAATGCATAATGATGCTTTTAACCCCGAGACTGGTAGTATGTACTTGATGAAGTGGCAGCTTTTACTATTTGCCACTAGAAATGAATGGGGGCTGAGCACAATGGCTCAGGCCTGCAATCTCAGCACTTTGGGAGGCTGAGGCAGGAGGATTGCTTGAGCCCAGGAGTTCAAGACCAGCCTAGGCAATATGGTGAAACCTCATCTCAAAAAAAAAGAAAAAAAGAAAAATAAAAAGAAAAGAAGCAATAGGAAAGTCTTTTGTAAACTGAAAAATGTCACAAATATAATTGGTGCTGCTTCTATGACGGTGGGTAATGGCATTCCCCTCTGGTGCTCTCTGAAAAGTCTGCAAAGGCAGGGCCCAGGAGAGGGGGTCCCACGCCCTCCCTGGAGTTGGGAGCGGGGATTAGGGCTGGGGGAATGGGCTAGGGGCCCCGGGAAGCAGCTCTGGACATGCCTCCATCATCTCTAGTCCCTCAAAGCCACAGACAGGGCTGCCTCCCCATACTCATGGGAGATCTTCAGTGTAGGTGGCTTGTGGAGTGAGGGGAAAGGGTGTAGGTCTCTCTGCAAAACTCTCTTCCATGACAACTTATGGGATCAAAAATAAGAACAGCAATAGTGGGGAACTGGACATCATGTGCTGCTCCCTGATGGGCTGCTCCAAGAAGGACACAATCCCAAATGTGCTATTCCTGCCAAAAATGCATACCCTGAATTTAATCACGCAGAAGCAGCAGACAAACTCAAATTGAGGGATATTCTGCAAAACAACTGGTCTGGAGTCTTAAAAAGAAATGTAGGTGTGATGGATGTCAAAAACAAACAAACAAACAAAAAACAAGGAGGGCAAAGATTGTAGGCTAAAGAGACGTGACAAATCCATAAAATGCTTTGATTGATTCTTGATTGGCTCCTGGATCAAGACAAAATCTTAAAAAAAAACGCTATTGGAACAACTGAGGAAAAGGAACTAAGAATGGTATATTAACTAATGGGATTTATTAATGCAAAGTTTTTTAAGGGTTATCATTGTATTGTTGTTATATGGGAGGCTGCTCTTTTTCCTAGGAGATGCCTGGTTTCGAGGTAAAATGTCATATGTCTCCAACACACACAAACATATATACTGAGAGAAATGAAACAAAAGTGGTGAATCCAGGTGAAGGGTATATGCATGTTCATTGTGCTATTCTTGCAACTTCTCTGTTGGCTTGATAATACGTAAAACAAAAAGTTGGGAGAAAAGCCATTGTGGTGCTATCAACCGGAGTCTCTGATATCTACTAGAAAATATCAGCCTATCCAAGGCCGGGAGCAGAAGCCAAAGTCAGAGACCCAAGGCGAGTCCCACACACCCTCTACCTAATTACAGTTCAAACCCTGTGGGGCTTTCTGTGTGTTGTACAGCATAGGGTGAGCACATACCAGGCGCTCAGCACCTACCCCATCCCTGGCACTGTAAAGGCACTGAGATATCAAGATGTGACTTCTGTTCTTTCAGGGCAAACGGTTCAAGGGAGGGTCTTCACTCACTTCTTCATGCTACTGCAGAGTATGTTGTCCATACAGCAGTCCAAAGGCTCACAGATAAACCTCAGGATTCCCAGGGGAAGATGGAAACAGATTAGTGACAGCAGCAGCCTCCATGAACTGGGCGCTCCTAGGAGTCAAACACGAAGCTAAGCCTTGTCTTTGTCTGCCCATCACCATGTGTCCTTTTCATGACAGCTGACCATGCAGGAAGGGATTTTTTTTTTTTTACAAGGTAGAAACTCTGGCTCAGAGAGGTCGATCACTTGTCTAAAAGTCACCCAGCTAGAGGGTGGCAGATCTGAAGAAGAAAGCAGCATGATCTCAGCCGTGAAGAGGTTTAACAAGTTGGCTTAGTGGAGAAGGGCATGCCACGAGCAGCTTGAGGGAAGATGTGGAGGAAAGAAGGTGAGGGCAGGGTTCCTCAACTTCAGCACCAATGACATTTGGGGCCTGATCAATCTCTGTTTTGGGGACTGTCCTGTGCGTTAGCAGCACCCCTGGCCTCTACCCACTGGATGTGAGTGGTCAGGAGTATGACCATCCCCTCGTTGTGACAACAAAAAAGGTATTCACATATTACCAGATGTCTCCTGGGAGATAAAACTGCCCCAGTTGAGAACCACTGGGGTATGGCATCTACACTCTGCCTTAAGCTGGAGGTAATCTCTTGGCACAGCCTTGCTCCTGGCTGGAGGACTGTATCTCTGCCCCTGAGGGTGGGCAGGTGGACAGGGCCTGGTAAGCTCTGCATTATCTCTGTAGGACCTCCCGCAGGGCAGGGCCTCAGGTGCTGGCTGCAGCTCCTCCACCACCACTGTCTCACTTCCATTTCTGCCTTGGCTGCTGTGATGGTTAATTTTACAGGTCAACTTGACTGGGCATGGGGTGCCCAGACATTTGGTCAAACACTATTCTTTCTGGGTGCGTCTATGAGGGTGTTTGTGGATGAGATCATCATTTGAGTAAAGCAGATTGCCCTCAAATATGGGTGGGCCTCATCTAATCAGTTGAGGGTCTGAATGGAATGAAGAGGTTGACCCTCACTCCGAAGGAGAAGGGAACTCCTTCTGTCAACTGCCTTCCAGCTTGTGGTACCAGTGCTTTTCCTGCTTTCAGACTTGAACTAAAACATTGGCTCTTCCTTGGTCTCTAGCCTGCTGACATTCAGACTAGAACTCCACCATCAGCTCTCCTGGGTCTCCAGCTTGCTGACTGCAGATCTTGGGACTTGGCAGCCTCCATAATCATGTGAGCCAATTCCTTATAAAAACTCTCTCTCTGCTTCTCTCTCTCTCTCTACACACACACACACACACACACACACACACACAGTTGACCCTTTAACAACATAGGTTTGAGCTGCATGGATTCACTTATACACAAATTTTTCTCAATAAAAAGTGCACTGGCCAGGTGCAGTGGCTCACGCCTGTAATCCCAACACTTTGGGAAGCCAAGGCAGGTGGATCACGAGGTCAGGAGATTGAAACCAACCTGGCCAACATGGTGAAACCCTGTTTCTACTAAAAATACAAAAATAATTCGGGTGCGGTGGTGGGTGCCTGTAATCCCAGCTACTCAGGAGGCTGAGGTAGGAGAATTGCTTGAACCCAGGAGGTGGAGGTTGCAGTGAGCCAAGATCACGCCATTGCACTCCAGCCTGGTTGATAGAACGAGACTCTGTCTCAAAAAAACAAAACAAAACAACAACAACAAAAATGCACTGAGTGTGCCTGCTTCTCCTGCCTTCCCTTCCACCTCCCCCACATCTTTCTCCTCTGCCATTTCTGAGACAGCAAGACCAACCCCTCCTCTTCCTCCTTCTCCGTCTACTCAATATGAAGATGAGAATGAAGACCTTTATGATGATCCACTTCCACCTAATGAACACTAAATATATTTCCTCTTTCTTATGATTTTCTTAACATTTTCTTTTCTCTTGCTTACTTTATTGTAAGAATACAATATATCATACATATTACACATGAAATATGTGTTAATTGACTGTTCATGTTATTGAAGGCTTCTGATCTGCAGTAGCCTATTAGTAGTTAAGTTTTTGGGGATCAAAAGTTATATGTAAATTTTTGATTGCCTGGGAAGTTGGTGCCCCTAATCCCTGTGTTGTTCAAGGGTCAAATGTTTATGTATATAGATAAATGTTATATATAATATATATGATATGATATATGTCAATGGTATATATAATATATATGATATGATATATATCAATGTTATATATTATATATAATATGATATATAAATATTATATAGAATATGATATATAAATATTATATAGAATATGATATATAAATATTACATATATAATATATAAATGTTATGTATAATATATAATATTATATATAATATATAAATGTTATATATAATATATAATATTATATATAATATAATATATAAATGTTAATATAATATATAATATTATATATAATATAATATATAAATGTTATATATAATATATAATATTATATATAATATAATATATAAATGTTATATATAATATATAATATTATATATAATATAATATATAAATGTTATATATAATATATAATATTATATATAATATAATATATAAATGTTATATATAATATATAATATTATATATAATATAATATATAAATGTTATATATAATATATATTATATATAATATAATATATAAATGTTATATATAATATATATTATATATAATATAATATATAAATGTTATATATAATATATATTATATATAATATAATATATAAATGTTATATATATTATATATAATATAATATATAAATGTTATATATAATATATTATATATAATATAATATATAAATGTTATATATAATATATAATATAATATATAAATGTTATATATAATATATAATATAATATATAAATGTTATATATAATATATAATATGATATATAAATGTTATATATAATATATAATATATACATAATATGATATACAAATGTTATATATAATATATAATATTATATATACATAATATGATATATAAATGTTATATATTATACATAATATGATATATAAATGTTATATATTATATATAATATGATATATAAATATTATATATAATATGATATATAAATATTATATATAATATGATATATAAATATTATATATAATATGATATATAAATATTATATAATATGATATATAAATATTATATATAATATGATGTATAAATATTATATATAATATGATGTATGAATATTATATATAATATGATATATGAATATATATAATGATATATAAATATTATATATGATATATAAATGTTATATATATTATATAATATGAGATATATAAATGTTATATATATTATATATAATATGAGATATATAAATGTTATATATAATATATATAATATGCGATATATAAATGTTATATATATTATATATAATATGAGATATATATGTTATATATTACATATAATATGATATATATAAATGTTATGTATTATATATAATATGATATATAAATGTTATGTTATATATAATATGATATATAAATGTTATGTGTTATATATAATATGATATATAAATGTTATATGTTATATATAATATGATATATAAATGTTATATGTTATATATAATATGATATATAAATGTTATATGTTATATATAATATGATATATAAATGTTATATGTTATATATAATATGATATATAAATGTTATATGTTATATATGATATGATATATAAATGTTATGTTATATATAATATGATATATAAATGTTATATGTTATATATAATATGATATATAAATGTTATATGTTATATATAATATGATATATAAATGTTATATGTTATATATAATATGATATATATAAATGTTATGTTATATATAATATGATATATAAATGTTATATATGTTATATATAATATGATATATAAATGTTATATATGTTATATATAATATGATATATAAAAATGTTAATTTTTATGGGGACACCTGAAACACAGTATATATACTATATATATATATATATATACATATATATATTTATGCAAAATGAAATCTCACATGTCTAGTTCATGCACCATGGTCAGACTGGGATTGGGTTAAAGGCCTTATTTGGAAAGGTAAATGAGATGGGAAAAGAAGACTGGCTTGAGGTTTGACTGCAGAGGCGTACTATATGTATATAGTATGTTTTGAGTGTCTCCATAAAAACTTATGCTGAAATTTAGTTGCCACTGATGGAACTGGGAGGTGGGGCCTTAAAAGGTGATTGGGTCATGAGGGTAGAGCCCTCACGAATGGATTAATGCCATTAACACAGGATTGAGTTAGTTCTAGGAAGTGCATTAGTTCTCACAAGAGCAGCTCATCATAAAGGTGAGCTTAGCTTGCCCTTGCGGTCTCTTCTGCATGTACTTCTTTGCCCTCTCCCCTTCTGTCATGAAAGCCTTCACCAGATGGTCAAGCAGATGCTGGTGCCATGCCCTTGAACTTCCCACCACCATCCCCCACCTAGCCACTATATGGGTTGTTAGATATTTTGACCACCTCCTCTTCGCTCACTCCACTATTCAACTCACTGCATCATCAATGTACTTATTACAAACCTGTCACAAGCCAGGTCTTATGCTAGGTGCTCCTCTCAACAGGTTCTTGAGCTGGCAGGGGAGAGAGAGACATTCAAACACCAAGGATTAATATACCATTACAGGTTTAAAGACAGAGGCCTATAAGGGTCCCCTGGCAGTGCCATGGAGGTAGGGCATGGTCGGCTGTACCTGTAGAGGTGTCTAAAGGGAGGCTTGCAAGCTGCCCCTTGAAGGACGAGCAGAAAATTGTACATGAGGACAAGTAGGAAAGGAATTCCAGGAGGAGGGATCAGCATGTGCAAAGGCATGGAGGTTGTCCATAGAATGTAGAGAGAAAATATTAAAACCTATATTTATACTAATTTTTGGCCTCATACTTTTATATTTTCTGTTTTATAACCACTTAATAATGCACATAACATATTAACATAGTGATTCATATGTATGCTTTTTTTAATATGCATATTTTGGGATATACACTCCCCACAGTTTTTACTAATGCGTGATCAAAAATGTTGCCAAGACTGGTTTGGGACATGCTATGTTTGAAAGGCCTGGGAATGTCCAAGAGGTAACGTCTAGGCTTGGGGCTAGATATGGGTCTGGGGGTTGGAGAGACAGCCTTGAGCATTGGGGGTGAGGAAGGGAGAGGGGCTGAGATGGCCGTGAGTACAGAGAAACAGGGCAGGGTGGAGGACAGAGCAAGTGGTTTGAGGCTTGGCTGCACTTTGAATCACCTGGGGAGCTTTTAAACTATTCCCTCTTGGCTTTTCTGATTTAATTGGCCTGGGGAGAAGCACAGGCATCATCACCTTTTAAACTTTCTAAGTGATTCCAATTGCAACCGGAGTTGAGAACCACTGCCTTAGACTAGTGGTCTTCAACATTTCCTGTTGTACATCCCCTAAATAAATTTTGGAAAACTGTATACTCTGTTACACAATTTTAAGTTGACATCTAAATTTCATATCATAATTTTAACAGCTGCAAAAAACCATAATTTCCCTCATGTTGTGTATATTTTCTCCAGAACCTCAGAGTTGCATATTTCGTTTGTTTAATTTATGGAAAATGTCTGCCATATAAGCTAATTGGCAAAGCCAGAATTCATTGCCAACCCAGTCAGCCCAATTAGACTTATTAACCATCAAAAGAAAATCTGAAATCATTTTCAAACTCAAATAAATGTGTTAATACACAGCCTCAAGACAAAGCCTGCCCATAACATTTCAATTCTAAATTCTAATTCTAAGCAAAATAGACAATGCACAGAGTCTTGCCACCTAGAATTTGTCCCTCAAATGGAACAAGGTGCTGTTCCCCTCAATATCTACAGCAGATGCTCTCTGTGCTTTGAAGAGGTCTTTCTCTCAGGGGTGTGCATTCTCCAATCGCCGCTTTGTTTGGGTTCCCAGCGGTTTGCACATGTCTAGTTCAGGCACCATGGTCAGACTGGGCTTGGGTTAGAGGCCTTATTTGGAAAGGTGAATGAGATGGGAAAAGAAGACTGGCTTGAGGTTTGACTGCAGAGGCAAATAGATCCACATCAGAAAAGAAGACATAGAGAAGTTGAGGATCTGGAAATCTATACCTTTTAAAACTGTCTGTGATGGATCCACGCATATATGGTCACTTGACTTACAACAAAGGAGCTGATGCAATTCTATAGAGAGAAGGATGTTCTTTTCTATGCATATTCATAGGGGAAAAAAGGAACTCTGACCCCTTCTTCACACCATACACATTAATTCAAGATAAATCATAGACTTCAATGTGAAAAGTAAACCAATAAAGCTCCTAGAAGCAAACAGAGTAGGGTGGGGGGCGGTCTCCATGACCAAGCAAAGATCTTTTAAGCTGGACATAAAAGGCACTTACTATAAATTTTTAAAAATTTTAAGTTAGACTTCATTAAAACAAAACGCTCTTTTAATCAAAAGATTAAGAAGAGGACAAGAGATTTTCCCAATGCATATATCTGACAAAGGACTCATATCCTGAATATATAAAGGTTTCCTACAAATCAATAAGAAAAAGGCAACCAAACCAACAAACATTGGGGGCAAAAGACTTGAATAAGCATTTTACAAAAGAGGGTGCCTAAAGGGCCAGTAAGCACCTGAAAAGGCACTCAACACCATTAGTTGTCAGGGAAATGCAAAATAAAATCTCAATGAGATTCTATGATACTCTCATCAGAATGGCTTAAAATGGTAAAGACGGACAATGCCAAGAGTTGTTGAGGAGGTGGAGGAGATAAAGCTCTCATACATTACTGGTGGGAAAATAAACTGGTAAAAGCCAACATACCCCTATCCTAATTCCCAGCAATTCCACTCCCATACATCTATCCAGGACATGGCAGGTGCTGTAGTTTACCCAGTGTGCAGGACATAAGGAGGGATGTTGTTGCAGAGAATTTAGGACAGTAATAAAAATGGCTAAGTCAGTTTGCTTTTTATTATCTATTAATGCATAACAAATCACTTCAAAATGCAGTGGCTTTAAACAGCAATAATCTTTTTTAAAAAAAACGGTCATAATTTTTGTGGATTTGGAAGTGTCAGGGCTGGGCAGCTCTTGTTTGAGATCTCTCATGTAGTTGCAGTCATGTGTCATCTAAGGGCTTGATTGGGGCTGGGGGTCTACTTCTAGGGTAGGTCACTCACATGGCTGGAAAATGAATGCTAGCTATTGTCCAGGGGCTCAGTATCTTTCCCTGGGGTCCTGTTTATGGAGCTGCTCGAGTGTCCTCATGGTCTGGTGGCTGGCTTACCCTGGAACGAGCCATTCAGGAGAGCAAGGTGGAAACTACAAGCCTTCACCTTGGAAATCATCTGCTGAGACTTCTACTGTAATCCAGTGATCAAGGCCAGCCCTGATTCAACGTGAGAGGGGGCCGAGAAGTGTGTGAATGCCAGAAGCAAGGATCCCAAGGATACATCTTGGAGGCTGGCTACAAAAGATGGTGTCTTATTAAGCCCTGTATCCTTAGCCACTTGCAGAGCCACCATGGGGTGGCTCTGCAGCAATTGCTGGATGAGTACAGAGTAGAATAGAAGGATGGGGCTTGTCCACATGGCTCTCTCCTGTGAAGCAGTGCTGTGGCAGGATGTGCTCACAAGGAAGAGACGACCCACAGACTACTGCTGGCCACCCTTGCCTGGAGTGTGGTTTGTAGGGGGTGAGGGAGTTGGGGCACAGGCTGCCTTCTACCTCTAAGGACAGAGCAAAGGCCCTGAGAGGGGTCTCTGATTGTCCTGCCTCTGGACCCAACAGCCAGTTAAAGACCAGTGATATGCCCCATGGTGGCTCCCAGTCACCTCCTCTCTGGACTGAATTGATTTCGGCATGAGGGAAGACACCAGAACACGCCCTGGGCATGTGCAGGTGAAGCTGCATGCATGGGATGAATCAGAAGTTAAAGGTGCAGGGAGAGGGCAAGAGTCACATGGGTGTGCATGTCACAACTTATTTCTCCAACTCCCTACAGGAACTTAAAGTGGGTAGAGCATTGGACCTACAGAGCACTGAGGATGCACTCAAAGGGCTTTGACAGATGAACATAGAGTGGAGTAGGAGGATAGGGCTTGCCCATGTGGCCTCTCCATTGAAGGCTACCATCCACGATGACAGAATACAGGAAGGAGATAAAGGCCTGCGTAGACACGCTGACCCCAAAGTCCTTCGTGTCCCCCAACCTCAGGGTCCCTCTGTCCCTACTGGCTCTGGTGGGAGCTGCCCAGGCAGCAGTTCTGGATTCTGTTCCATCCTGGCAAGACTCCCGCCTCCGACCTTATTCCAACTCTTCCAAACCAACTTCCCCAATGGATGCTTCCTTCTGACTGTATCCAGCACTTCCCTCCAAACCATCTTTCCCTCTCCTTTGTTGAATAGAATGTATGTTTTCTTGTTTTGTTTTTGTTTCTGTTTTTTTGAGACGGAGTCTCACTCTATCGCCCAGGCTGGAGTGCAGTGGTACAATCTCGGCTCACTCCAACCTCTGCCTCCCGGGTTCAAGAGATTCTCCTGCCTCAGCCTCATGAGTGGATGAGTGGCTGGGATTACAGGCATGCGCCACCACACCCGGCTAATTTTTGTATTTTTAGTAGAGATGGGGTTTTGCCATGTTGGCCAGGCTGGTCTCGAACTCCTGGCCTCAAGTAATCTGCCCACCTCGGCCTCCCAAAGCGCTGGGATTACAGGCGTGAGCCACCACACCCCGTGAGTAGAATGTATTAAAACATTTTAAAATTACACAACAATGGATGTTTATTTGTTCTCCTTTGAATGATCTTAGTGAGCCTCCTCACCCTTGCTGCAATACTCCTATCCTGGACTCCAGCTCCCATGTCTAACTTCAAGGTTGACTCATCCCGAAACTGACCTCTCCAACGTCTATCTTCATAAGGGATACTTTTTAAAACTGTTACTAGTTATGGGATACTTTTTAAAACTGTTACTAGTTACTAGGAGAAAATTGGAGAGGGTAGTGGATTTATTCACAGAGACAATCAGTGTTCCATATGAGCTAATAATCTCTGAATTGGTCTTTAATTCAATTATAGCCCCCAAATGGCAAATGGATCTGAGTGCCCAGGGTGGTCCATGGTCGAAGCGAGAGTAATGAGAAAGATCCCAAATACTTTCTTGCTTAAAGCACACCTCACATCTTTGCTTAAAGCCCAAGGGCTTAACAATGAAGGAGGGACGGCTTTCTAGATGAACAGCTGTTCTCCTACAGAACAAGGAGACCAGTTTTTCTTCATTTTTTAAAACCTTGGGGATAAAGCAAAAGACACTGGATTGAATGCAGCAGGAAGGATCTGGATTCAAAATAAGGAAGAATTGCCAAGCTGATGGTGAGAACTAGAAAACCTGGGCATGACCTGGCAGGAGCAGTTGTGCAAGTCCCTCCAGGAAGTCCTGAGTGTGGAAACATACCCTGACTCAGCTGCATTTATGGGGTGAGCATCAGCCAGGCCCTGCTGCCATCATAGGGCCAGGTGGGCTGGGCTGCCAGGGAGGCAGTAGTGTGAGATGGCCAGGGAGCTCACCCCAGCCAACGAATGGCTTCAAGCCATTTCCTGGGCAGGACTGGTCCTGTGGAACAGGAGGGCCAGTCAGGAACCTGAAGCAGCAACCAACTTGCCCATGAGGATTGGGCTCTTATCCACTGTCTTTCCTGACCAACTCATTCTCATCCTTCAGGATTTAAGGCAGATGTCACTTCCTCCAGGAGGCCCTCCCTCAGGGCACGGAGCACACAGAGGTGGACTCTAGGACTCACCTGCTTCCCTCTCTAGTTGCAGGTCCCTTAAGGGGGACTGTGGGTGATTCGTCATTGAGTCCCTTGTGACCTCCAGGTGCTTGGGAGATGGAGAAAATGAAGGAAGGGAAGTGGAAGCAAGGGAAGGAAAGTTGAAGCAAGGAAAGAAAAGAGAAAGGGACGAGGAAGAGAGGGAAGACAGAGAAAGGAAAACTCTTGTGCCCAGAGATTGTACAGATTGTCTAAAGAGTCTCACCCCTGCTGGATGGACAGTGGCTTTATCAGCAGCAACACTATCTCAGCCTCCCGGGCAGCTAGGACTCTGGCTGCCTACACATTTTTTGCTCCATGCAGGCCCAGCTCAGGGAGAGGTACTCAGGCCCAGGCTGGTGGTGCTGAGTACCAGGACTTGGAGTTAAGGGGGCTTGCTGTGGGCACAGTTTGGCAAGTGAAGACGGACAGCTCTGGGGGCCACAAGAGAGCTGGGTAATAGAAGACTTTATGAAACCTGTATTAGATCTAGTTCTTGTTCATTTCTACTTGCTCACGTTATAATTCCAGAGCTGTGTTCTTAGAGGGAAATGTACTTTTATTGAAATGTTTTTCATAAGATGACAGTAGCCTTTCCTGATTATGAAGAAACCCTGTTGGCTGGGCATGGTGGCTCATGCATATCATCCCAGCACTTTAGGAGGCTGAGGAGGGCAGATCACCTGAGGTCAGGAGTTCAAGACCAACCTGGTCAACATGGTGAGACCTCGTCTCTACTAAATATACAAAAATTAGCTGGGCGTGGTGGCAGGCACCTGTAATCCCAGCTACTCAGGAGGCTGAGGCCGGAGAATCACTTGAACCCGGGAGGCAGAGGTTGCAGTAAGCCGAGATTGCAACACTGCACTCCAGCCTGGGTGACAGAGACAGACTCCATCTCAAAAAAAAATAAAATAAAAATAAAAAATAAAGAAAGGAACCCTGTTATAACAAATATGAAGAATACAAAAATGATTTGAAATCCTAGAGATAACCATTGTCAACATTTTGTTGTATATTGTTCTAGAATGTTTATATACTTATATTTAGGTATTCTTATATTTGCATATTAATATATTTAAATATATAAAATATTTTTTAAAAACAAAAGGTGGAATCACATTATACATAGTGTTTTATAAACTGATTTTTTCCCCACTCAGTAATGCCTTACGAACTTTTCTTACCAGTAAATAAAATTTCACATCATTATAGTGGCTGCAAATATTTTACTTAATGAAGGTAACATAATTTATTTAACCTCTTTGGCCATTTATGATTTCCCCCCAGTTTTTTACTCTTAAAAACTACTTTTGGGAAAAGTGAACCCCGGCAACATCATTAAAAACAAAAACAACTATACCACAAAAGTCAGGTGAAAAAATCAGATGTGATTTTGAACTACAGTTTTAGAAATAACTTCCTTGTAAATAATCGACTGTATTGTTAATTAAGTCAAATATTGTGGGAGAAACAGAACGGGGCATATCTGAGACTGAAATAATTGATAGTGAGGTATGGAAAAGGAAAGTTTTCATTTTGAAAGGAACACTGAGCTTTCGCTGTTTTGCAAAAATATACTTGTCTAAATATAGTTGTTTTGAACAATCTGTTGCCTGTAATCATTACCTCTACCAATCCCCTGTGGTATTGTGTCCTTTCAGGGTACGAGTGTTGGTCTGTCTATAAACACTAGAGATTTCTCCCTCTTCCAGGCATTTTGCTAGCCTCTGAGGATGGAGCAGTGAATAAAACCCACCCACACCTTATCCTCCTGGCAGTTAGCCTTAGTGGAGAGGCACAAGGGCTGCCTGTCTGGTGAATGAGATGATACTGTTAAGCACACCAGGATGCTGGAATCTCCTGCCTCTTACTGGCAGATAACCTGCCCCTCCCAGAACTTAGAGAATACTAAGTGCACAGGACATACCTGCCACCAGACCATTCAGGTACATGGTGTTTTTACTACCATTTCTGAGATCAGGCAAGTTTCAGATCTGTTTTCATGAAGCTAGAAGAGGGCTTAAAAGTCACCTTGTCCAACTGACCTGGCCTGTTGAGGCTTGAATCTTCTCTCTATAAACCTGAAAGAATTAAAAGGATCAGAATCCAGTTTAAAGTTTATTCAGGTGAAAAGGTGAAAATGATCATCCAGGAGACAAAGACTCCAGAGAAATGGGATCCGTGCTCCAAAGTTAAGAGTTAAGTTCTTGCTAATACAGGTAGAAAACAAAGAAATTTAATGGGATTACAGCATTTTCTATACAAGAGTGGTATAAGAGTTACAACAAATTAATTAGTGATAGTCTGTTTTCTTTTCTCTACAGTTTGTTTTCCTTTCTTTACAGCTGATTTTCATTTCCTCACTCAATTTAAAAGAGTATATTTAACATTCCATCTTAAGGCAATGTGATAGCCATAAAGTCTTTATGTGAGAAACGTAAGAGGGAAGTTAATCTATAATGAAGATTAACAATCAAAGGGAAGGGTCAACATAAAAAAATCAAATAAATTTCTATATATTAGTAATAAACAATTGGAATTTGAAAAAAAAATTGAAGCTTTATTTACAATAGTACCAGAAAACATGAAATACTTAGGTATAAATCTGACAAAATATGTGCAAGGTCTGTCTGCTGAAAACTATAAACTAATAAAAAAAATCAAAGAGGCCAGGTGCAGTGGCTCACACCTGTAATCCCAGCACTTTGGAAGTCCGAGGCGGGTGGATCACCTGAAGTCAGGAGTTCAAGACCAGCCTGGCCAACATGGTGAAACCCCGTCTTTACTAAAAATACAAAAAATTAGCCAGGACCGTGGTGGCTGGTACCTGTAATCCCAGCTACTTGGGAGGCTGAGGCAGGAGAATTGCTTGAACTGGGGAGGCAGAGGTTGCAGTGAACCGAGACTGCGCCACTGCACTCCAGCCTGGGCAACAGGAGCAAAACTCCATCTCAAAACAAAATAAAACAAAACAAAAACAAAACAAAACAAAACAAAAACAAAGAAAACCTTAAAAAAAAGAAGAGGCATACCATGTTCACGGATTGGAAAATTCAATATTGCTAAGATATAAATTCTTCCCACACTGATTTAGATTCAATGCAATTCTAATAAAAATTCCAGCAGAATTTTTTTTTTTTTTGTAAAAGTAGACAAGCTGCCAGGCGTGGTGGCTCACACCTGTAATCCCAGTACTTTGGGAGGTCGAGGCGGGTGGATCACAAGGTCAGGAGATCGAGACCATCCTGGCCAACATGGTGAAACCCTGTCTCTACTAAAAATGAATACAAAAATTAGCCGGGCATGGTGTCGTGTGCTTGTAATACCAGCTACTCGGGAGGCTGAGGCAGGAAAATCGCTTGAACCCGGCAGGCAGAGGTTGCAGTGAGCCGAGATCACGCCGTTGCACTCCAGCCTGGGTGACAGAGAGAGATTCTGTCTCAAAAAACAAACAACAACAACAAAAAAAAGTTGGCAAACTGATTTTAAAGTTTGTATGAAAAGGCAATGGGGCTGGGCATGGTGGCTCACACCTGCAATCCCAGTACTTTGGGAGGCCAAGGTGGGTGGATCACCTGAAGCCAGGAGTTCAAGCCCAGCCTGGCCAACATGGCAAAACCCCATCTCTACTAAAAATACAAAAATTTAGCCAGGTGTGGTGGCGGGCACCTGTAATCTCAGCTACTCAGGAGGCTGAAGCAAGAGAATTGCTTGAACCCAGGAGGTGGAGGCTGCAGTGAGCCAAGATTGCACCACTGCGCTTCAGCCTGGGCAACAAGAGCGAAACTCCATCTCAAAAAAAAAAAAAAAAAAAAAGGAACTAGAATAGTCAGAATAATTTCAATCAAGAACTACGAAGTTAGGGAATTTCTACTAATTTCATGACTTACTCCAAAGCTATAATAATCAAGATAGTTGGTACTGGTGAGAGAATAGTATACATCAAGCCCGTCCAACCTGCAGCCCATGGGCTGCATGCAGCCAGGATGGCTTTGAATGTGGCCCAACACGAATTCATAAACTTTCTTAAAACATTATGAGTTTTTTTTGCAATTTCAAGAAGCTCATCAGCTATCGTTAGTGTTAGTGTATTTTATGTGTGGCCCAAGACACCTCTTCTTCCCATGTGGCCCAGGGAAGCCAGAAGATTGGACACTCCTGGTATATATAAATAGAACAAAATAGAGTCCAGAAACAGACTCACACATATATGGTCAATTGAATTTTGACAAAGCTGCAAAGGCATTTCAGTGAGGAAATAATAAACTTTTATTTTCATTTTTTTGAGACAGGGTCTCTCTCTCTCCAATGTCCAGGCTGCAGTGCAGTGGTCTGATCACAGCTCACTGCAGCCTTAACCTCTGGGGCTCAAGTGATCCTCCCACCTCAGCCTTCCAAGTAGCTGGGACTACAGGTGTGCACCACCAGGCCCAGCTAAATTTTTTGGTATTTTTTGTAGAGATGGGATTTCACCATGTTACTTAGCCTGGTCTCAAACTCCTGGGCTCAAGCAATCTGCCTGCCTCAGCCTCCCAAAGTGCTGGGATTACAGGTATGGGCCACTGCGCCCAGCCAAGAATAAACTTTTCAACAAATGGCGCTAGAACAAATGGACATCCATATGAAAAAACTAAACAAAACAAACCTCAATCTATACCTCACATTACTTACAACATTTAACTTAATGTGGATCATAGGCCTAAATGTAAAATCGAAAACAATAGGACTTCTCAAAGAAAAGATTTCTTAGACACGACACCAAAGGCATAATCCATAAATTTTGGGGGATAAATTGTACTTCAACAAAATTAAGAAGTTCTGATTTTTTAAAGACTCTGCTAAGAGAATTAAAAGATAAATAATGGTCTGGAAGAAAATATTTTCAACTTACGTATCTGATAAGTGACTTCTATTTAAAATATGAAAGAACTCTCAAAACTCAATAATATAGCTCCTCAAAAAATTAAAAATAGAATTACCGTATAACCCAACAATTCTACTTTTGGGTCTATAGCCAAAATAATTAAAAGAAGGGTCTTGAAGAGATATTTGTACATCCATGTTTATAGCAGCGTTATTCACAATAGCCAAAAGGTGGAAGCAACCCAGATGTCCATCTATGAATGAGTGAATACATAAAATGTGGTGGGTGTGGTGGCTCACATCTGTAATTCCAGCACTTTGGGAGGCTGAGGTGGGAGGATTACTTGAGTCCAGGCGTTCAAGACCAGACTGGGCAACATAGCCAGACACTATTTCCATAATATATATATATATATGTAATAAAAATACAAAAAAACCCACAAAATGTGGTGTCTACATGTAATGGAATATTATTCAGTCTTAAAAAGGGAATTCTGACATATGATACAACATGAATGAACCTTGAAGACATAATACTCAGTGAAATAAGCCAGTCACAAAAGGGCAATACTGTATGATTCCACTTACATGAGGTATCTAGAGTAATCAAATTCATAGAAAGAAAGTTGAACGGTGGTTGCCAGGGGCGGGGGAAGGGGAGAATGGGAAGTTCCTGTTTGATGGGTACAGTGTGTCAGTTTCGCAGGACGAAAAATTTCTGGGCCCAGCACGGTGGCTCACGCCTGTAATCCCAGCACTTTGGGAGGCTGAGGTGGGGGGAATCACTCGAGGTCAGAAGTTCGTGACCAGCCTCCATGTAACAAATCCAACTAGCCAAGACTCTCATGCCAAAGAGGCACATGTAGGTGGTCTGGTTGACAGTCTCAAATGGAGTCCTCTGCCAACTGTCAGCATCTTCTGCCAGTGGTGAGTGAGTCATCTTGGACACCCAGCCCATTTGAGCCTTCAGATGATGACAGCACCATCTAGTATCTGACCATAACTACTTGAGAAATCCTCAGCAAGACCTGCCCAGAGAAGCCTCCCAAATTTCTGGCCCACAAAATCATGAGCAAAAAACCTATTGCTTCAAGCAGGTATGTTTGGGGATCATTTGTTATGCAGCAGTAGAAACTAGAACATTGAAACTCTTGCTTTCTTATCTTGCCCCACAGAAAAGTATATATTCTCAGCAATCAGAAAGACAATAGGGCAAAAGGCAGGAAAAGCTCTAAGTTTATTGAGTCCTACCACAGGACAGATACTTTACAATCCCACCTAGCATAACCCCCATGATTCTGTGAGTTGGGGACAATGTTTCTTTGTCAAAAAGAGAAAGGTAGAGTTCAGAGGGGACAAGGCTGTCAGATTGCAGAGGTGGTGCTCTTTCTGCTGGAGCTAAATGTCCCAAAGTAAGACCGCAGAAGCAAGAGTCAGGCAAGAAAGTTTGATTTCACAACATATTGTTGCTAGGATAAAGCCCTCAGGAGCTATGTGATCCTTTTAAAGGATAAAGTGTCCATTTTGCTTCCCTCCTTCCTCCCTGCAATTAGTCAAATGGCAGGTGGAGCATGTAGTCTGTGAGGCAGAGCTGAGGAGTGAGAACTTTCATAGAAACTTCCACTTACAACCAGGTATGGTGACTCATGCCTGTACTCCCAGCACTTTGGGAGGCCAAGGCAGGAAGATCACTTGAAGCCAGGAGTTTGAGATCAGCCTGGGCAATATAGTGAGATTCTGTCTCTACAAAATATTTTTTTAAATTAACTGAGCATGGTGGCCCTTGCCTGCAGTCCCACCTACTTGGGAAGCTGAGGCATGAGGATAGCTTGAGCCTAGGAGTTGGAGGCTGCAGTAAGATGTGATCACACCACTGCACTCTGCCCTGGGTGACAGAGAAAGAGCCTGTCTCTAAATAAATGAACAAGTAAATAATTTTTTTTAAAAAAGGAAATGTTCAGAGCGTTGCAGAGTGTTACAGAGAGGAAACTTCTAGAGTCTTCACACTTGCAAATCACTTCCTTTAGCTCTCAACTCATTGAAGACTTGAGCTGAGCCCTCCAGGTGGTCAATTTGAAGACATATGAGGCATAGAAGTGCCTTGGTGAGTCCCTATTATGGGCCGGACGCTGTGTGCACTATCCATGATCCTGCAAGAATGACATTGCTATCTCCCATGGCAGATGGAGAAACAGTCACAGGTGATTAAGTTATTTGTCCCAAATGTCACACAACTAGGAAGTACAGGCTAAAGAAGGGTCCCAGTGCAGCAGAGTATGGGTGAGTAGGCAGGCAGACAGGCAGTGTGGCCCCACTGGCACAGAGCCCCGAGGCAGAGCCTCAGAGACACCAGTTCAGGGTTCCTGCAAGCTGCGGACCAGGAGAGGAACTAGCAGAATGTGGGGTCCCCAGAGGACATAGAATCAAAGATACTAGAGAGAGAACAATGTCCTCATCAACATGGAGCTGATGGAGCAGAACCCCTAAGGATACTGTTTCACATTCATTTACTCCCCAGCTAGCAGGGATTGTCTGATCCAACCCCTCGATTCTGACATATAAGGCAACTGAAGCCAGAAGGAAAAAGGGACATGCCTGAGGTCCCCCAGCTTGCCAGAAGCAGGGCAAGACAAGAGTTCCTATTCCTGATTCAGGGTCCAGTGCTCTTTCAGAGGCACCTTCCTGAATTCTGAGATTAAACTCAGGCTTTAAGTAGGGTGACCCTTTCAATTTATGATCCAAACCAGAATAAGGGCATTATTAATAATTACAACAGGATGGCAGGTGTCAACAGGACTGCCCTGTGCAAATGGGACACACAGTCATTCTAGCATGGCATTCTAGAATGCCACCCACTTGCCCACCAGGAAAGCCTCTTCACAGCCTTATGGTTGTGGACCTGACAACTCACTGTCATCCTCCATGCCAGGTGAGGGGCTGATGGACCAAGCAGCCCTGAGGGTCTGGCTTTCCTAGGGGTCTTTAGGGAGCTCAGAACTGGCTGCTCCAACACTGGCCTCTGTCCCCACCTGGCACTGTGTATGCATAAACAGAGGCCCCATTTGTTCCCACGTATCAGGGGCAAGCTCCCTGCCAAGCCCAGTGGAACTCCAGTTTTAGGTGCTTGCCTCTGGGTGATACCCACTGAACCAAAGCTGTCCTCACTGTGAGACTGTGAATGTGGGGCTCTCCTATGGAGCCCCAGGACAGTGGAAGAAGGCCCCTGCTGGCTTGGTAGCCAGGTCACGGCAGAAACTATAAGGATGTGAGAAGCACACCAAGTGGCATAAACTAGCTGTGCTGTTTCTTCCCCCTCCTTCACTCCTCTGTCCCCAATAGTCACCAGCTTCTGAAACGTTACCTTACACACACATCTGCTGGGGATCTTGTTAAACTGTAGATTCTGATTTAGGAGACCTGCAGTGGAGCCTGAGATGCTGGATTTCTCACAAGTCCCAGGTGATGCCAATGCTGCTGGCCCAGGTGCCACTTGGAATAGTAACCCTCTCTCACAGCATCCTGCTCACTCCCTCCAGAGCAGTAATCATAACTTGTCATTGCTTTCTTATGTGGTTGTTACTGATTGCAGCAGATGTTGCAGTATTTCAAGCCTGATAATCACAGGCTTGAAAAGCACATGTGTGTTGGGCTTGTCCTCTTGGGGAACCCTGCTGCTGAGTGAAGAGCCCATGCTAGCCTGCTGGCGGCCCCTGGCTCAGCCAACAGCCAACATCAACAGCCAGACCTAGGAGTGAGACCATTTAGATCATCCAGCTCCAATTGCAGCCACATGAATTAGTCCAAAAGAATCACCCACCTGAGCCCAGCCCAAACTGCTGACCTGCACAACGGTGAGCACATAAAATGGTCATTGTTTAGGTCACTAAGTTTTGGAGTGGTTTGTTACATGGCAATAGATAACTGATACACTGGTTTAATATCTATGTTAGGGGTGGGACTAGATATGTTTTATTTGGTATGTTACACCCAGTGTTTTGAATTGATGAATAAATGAACTAACCTGGATCTGTCTGATTCTAAAACCCAAGAGTTTCTGCTCCACTGTTTCTGCTCCCTGTTCCCAGACAAGTTGCTCATCCTGGGTCTAGTGAGGTCAAAGTTAGGGTATGTAATCCAGCCTAGGTTAATTAGTGCTTTCCAGTCTACAGTGATCAGTTAAGGGATGAGTGTGTGACCTAATCTAATCCAATCAGATTGAAACTCGGGACTTTCACTGAGAATGGTGGGGAAAACACCTTCTCTTCTCCAGTCAATATAAAGAAGAAATATAGGAATAGTTTCCAAAATCTGACTAATCAGACCTAATCTGACAAGTCACTATAGGAAGGAAGGACTTACACAGGCCCACTGCTATGCTGGGCTTTAACATTTTAGTTGCATTTTGGGGAGGTCCAGGATACTCCCATACTTGGAGGGTGAGAGCATTTAAGCTCTGAGTAAAGTCTTGTCTGATGCTAAAACTACCACTGAGCTTCCAAATCACACGAGTCCAGAAATATATTTGTTTCAGCCAATAGGGCTGGACTTCCTGTTGCTTGCAATTATCAAGCAACAGAATGCTTCCTAACTGGCCGACCTTCTTTCTTCTGGGAATCTAACTCTCCTTTAAGGTCAACCAGATGATCCAGACACTCTAAAATTAACCCAGGTTTAAGCCAGAACAAGAGAAGAATGAATCCCTGGGTGGACGCACAACATTCCCTACAGAATCAGCTTTACTCTCCTGTGTTTTGCCAGAAGAAACATTTCATAAAACTCGTCTTTGAATCTATTGGAAAGATGTTCTTGAGGGTGTGGCTTCCCACTTTCCACAGGGTCTTTCTGGTCTTTCAGCTGCATATTCCTAAGCAGTAGATTAATTTTCTACCACATGGACAGTTATGAACTATGTAACTAACTAGTTTTCCCTTTTGGTCTTGGCTGCCAGGAAACTTTACACCAAATATGTACCCACTTGCAGCAAAAGTGCACAACTCCATGGTCTGTCTTTTTACAGTAGCTTCATTACTGGTTCAATTTTATGTCGTTAGCCTTGTTGTACCGTATTCATTTTTACTTCCTTTGACTTATATAATCTTGCTTCGTTTTGTGTATCCTTATAAGAAAATAGGAGTTATAATTTTTTAAAAAAACACTTTGATTTAGGCTTGGTTAAAATGAAAAGAAGCTACAGGGAGTACTGTTATATCAATCACTTTGAATTTCAGTGAAGGAAACAGAAGGGAGGTATGGAAGAACATATACATTCCAAGGATCTCAAGAGCATAAAGAATCGACACCAAGGCCAGGTGCAGTGGCTCAGGCCTGTAATCCTAGCACTTTGGGAGGCCAAGGTGGGCAGATCACTTGAGGTCAGGAGTTCGAGACCAGCCTGGTCAATATGGCGAAACCCCATCTCTACTAAAAACACAAAAATTAGCTAAGGCGTGGTGGCAGGCACCTGTGGCCCCAGCTATTCGGGAGGCTGAGGCACGGGAATTGCTTGAACCTGGGAGGCAGAGGTTATAGTGAGCTGAGATTGCACCACTACACTCCAGCCTAGGTGACAGAGTAAGACTCTGTCTCAAAAAAAAAAAAAAAAGAATCAAGACACCAAAGTGGGAAAAAGCTTTTAAGTGCAGGTGGCCTCTAGAAGAGGGGGCAAGCAAGGAAACAGATTCTCCCTGAGCCTCTAGAAGGAACACAGCCAACACCTTGATGGTAGCCCAGTGAGACTCATTTTTAATTTCATACCTCCAGAATTGTAAGAGAATAGATTTCTGTTGGTTAAGCCACCGAGTTTGTGGTGATTTGTTACAGCAGCCACAGGAAATGAATATAGGCCCCATTCAGACCTGCTGGGTGGGAGACTCTGCAGGTGGGGTCTGGCGTCCTGTATTTACCAAACTCTTCAGGGGGTTCAGAGGCACGCCAAAGTTTGAGAACCACTGCTCTTAAATGGTGGTTCTTGACCTTCGTGGAACATCACACTCATCCGGGGTGTTTCCAAAAACACTCGTACCCAGCTCTACTCCCAGAAATTCCAATTTGATTGGCTACGGTAAGGTTCAGGCGTTTCATTTGTAAAAGCTCCGTCTACTGTTCTAGTGCTCTGCACTGCCAGAACTGGAAAGCTGGGCTTCCCTTCCCACTTGCTGCTTCCCACTTCTCACTTCTGCCTCTGCTTCCACCTTCTCTTCTCTAGATGTTGGGTCCATCTTAGTCTCCTCTTTCCTTCTTGGCTGAACAGTCGTGAGGCTTCCTCCTGAAATGGCAAGGGATGAGTTTGCCAGTATTTCTAACTAAAGAAAAATTAATTTATAATATGCTATATAATTTTTATTATATGTTAATATAATAAACTCAATACTGTCACAAACCCAATATTCTGGTTCAGGGGACAGATTTAGTCACACACTCCTAGAAGAGAAGGATGTTGGAGAGTGTCTAGCCCCACAACACCCTTTCTAGTTTGGGAAACTGAGGCCCAGAAAGAGAAAGTGACTAGTCCAAGGTTACAGAAGGGAGGCACAGAGCCTGGGACCAAACCCTGGTCTTCTGATCTAAAGCCTGCTGTCCTTTCACCTTCTAACTTTACTCTGGCTCTGTTCCCTGCACTGGAATATAGAGGACTCCAGGCAAGGATCTGGCTCTTAAAAAAAAAAAAAACCAGCCACCCCCTCTCTCCCCATTTCTAGGCAAGGCAGAAGGGGGCCCGTGCAGCAAGCAGGTGCTGGAACCTTCTGGGGATGACCTTGAGCTGGGTCTGGATGGCAGGAATGATTCTGATGACCGATAAGTCTCGATCTTGGGGGAGGAGAGGCAGTCAGCTGAGACTATCGCACCTGGGAAGCAACCAGCCAGGTTGCCACCTGCCCTGGGCAGGACAGCAGCCCAGAGAAAGAGAAGGATGGTGGGGAGGGGTGAGGAGAGGCCAGGCCTGGGCCAAGGGCCTGCAAATAGCCTCCTCCTGACTGCAGGGGCCCTGGGCTAATAGAGGCAGAGAACTGCAGTGAGGTCAGGTCCTCTGGCACCTGGTGCCTGTCTACGCCCTCTCTTAACACGTGCAGGACCGCCGCCTGCCCCCCTCCCCGGCAAGGTTGTACAGCAGAAAGAGGGGTGAGATGGAGGTAGTGAGTGGGTATAGGGAACTCACCCTGGCTGCCTTGTGGCAAGTTTGGGAGAGGCAGTCGTGTGGAGTACTTAAAGGCACAGGCAGTGTTTGGAATCACAGAATCTGTCACTTTCAGCTGTGTGACCTGGAACAAGTCCCTGAGCCTCTCTGGGCCAGTCTCCTCTCCTGTAAAATGGGGATGATTCCTGGTTCTTGTGAGGAGTCTGAGAAAATACATGTACATGTGTGTGCATTTGGGGCTCAGAAAATGGCAGGCAGCAAGCATCATGAAGTGTCCAAACTGCCTGGGTTCACATCCCAGCCCCACCCCTTTCTACCTAGCCGTGACCATGCTGTGTCTATTTCCTCTTCTGGAAAATGGGCTGGCAGTAGCACCTACCTTATAGGAGTCAGTGAATTAACAGATGCAAAATGCTTAGGACAGGGGCCTGGCTCAGTGGGTGCTCCAAACCACCACCTTTAGTTTGGCTTCTGATATCAATGCTGCTGTGTACCCATCGAGGACTCTCATGGCAAGACTGGGAGAGGCAGTAGTGTGAAGTCCTTAAAGTGCTAGGTCCTAGGAGGTCTTCGTACTCACGTAAACATTTATAAGACTAGAGAAAAAAAATTACTGGCTTCAAAATATGAAAGGAAAACTGCAAAGTCAAAATTAGTGACCCTTTTGCTAAATGTCCACAAAACACACTATTACTTCAACTTTATAAACTATGTCTGAAACATGTCATAACACTTGAAATCAATTTATTGGCTAGATTATTCTCCTTCTTCAAGAACTTAAGTGACTAACGATGACTAAAAAATCAGAACAAGCATAACTTATGTAACTCGTAACAAAAGAACTTCACATGCAAAATTACAAAAATTATTTTAATAGATCATTGTAACAATTGAAAAAAAGGCAAACACTTTAGATCTCTGTAAGGAATATATATAAAGTTTAAGGAAATAAATGGGAACAATATCCTCCAAATTTAGGGTGGTAGTTATCTCTGCTGTAAGGAGAGTGGATCAGAGAGGCCACACAGGATGTTTCAACCCTCTAGGTAGCATTTTATTTCTTAAGTTAGGTGGTGAATCCCACAGATTTGTACTGTATTATTCTTTGTCTCCTTTTTGTACATATGAAAAATGTTGTAACAAAATTTAAAAGTATGGTTTGGTAGCAAAAAGAAGAGCAAGAAATGTCCCCGGATAATTTCAAATTATTTTATGGCAAATTTGTATTTAATGAGAAATGTTAGGGATTTCACATTCCTACATAATGTCAGGCAGGGTTTCCAAAAGCAAGTCCCCAAGGCCCTGACTCTACCAATGGTCCTCCAGGCCCCAGACCCCTCACCTGGTGTCTTAGCTTGCTCGGGCTGCTATAATGAAAATGGATGGCTTAGCAGAAATTTATTTCTCACAGTTCTGGAGGCGGGAAAGTCCAAGATCAAAACACTGGTGGACTCAGTATCTGGCGAGAGAGGTGAGGGCTAGGAGATGGGGTGGAAGGCTGGACTCAGGGGCAGCCTCAGGATGGAGCAGGCAGCCTAGACCCTTGGCTAATGCCAGTCTCTGCTAAGTTCAACCCTGGGGGAATTTGTCCAATTCTTGGCAGATGCAGTCTCTGTTGTCAAGGGTCTAAAGGTCAGTGGAGAGAGATCCACAAACAGGCATGAAAGAAGGTAAACACACTGATTACCTTAATTTACTGAAAGGCTGTGGCAGGGGTCCCCCATCACCACCCTGTACTGATTTGTGGCCTGTTGGGAACCAGGCTGCACAGCTGGAGGTGAGTGGCAGGCTAGCGAGCATTACCACCTTAGCTCCACCTTCTGTCAGATCAGCTGCGGGATTCAATTCTCACAGGAGCTCCAACCCTGTTGTGAACTGTGCATGTGAGGGATCCAGGTTGCATGCTCCTTATGAGAAACCATACCCGCCGCCCCTACTCCCTCCATGGAAAAATTGTCTTCCACAAAACCAGTTTCTGGTACCAAAAAGTTTGGGGAATTCTAGGCTATGGGAACACATCATTCTTTGTGGGGAATATAGGAAGCATCTCCTTTAAAATCCACATGAGGACAATGCCCACTGTCACCCCTTCTACCTAGCATGGCTGCAGAGGTCAAAGTCAGGTCATAAGACAAGATAATGAAATTAAAGGAGTAAAGTTCAGACAGGAGGAAACAAAATTATAGTGGCAGATTATGCGATCACATTGAAAACCAAAAGAATCAATAAACAAATTATTAGAAACAAAAGAATTAGCAAGATGGCTGACTATACCATCAATAATAATCATTTTAATTTACATTGACTCCCATTATACATACTAATAATAGCAATAGTTAACCTTTCCTTTTTTTTTTTTTTTTTTTTTTGAGACGGAGTCTCGCTCTGTCACTCAGACTGGAGTGTAGTGGCGCAATCTCGGCTCACTGCAACCTCCGCCTCCCAGGTTCAAGCGATTCTCCTGCCCAGCTTCCTGAGTAGCTGGGATTACAGGTGCCCACCACCACGTCCAGCTAATTTTTGTATTCTTGGTAGAGACGGGTTTCACTGTGTTGGCTAGGCTGGTCTTGAACGCCTGACCTCAAGTGATCCACCCGCCTCAGCCTCCCAAAGTGCTGAGATTACAGGCGTGAGCCACTGTGCCCGGCCTAGTTAACCTTTCTTAAATCAACATGCTTTGCACTCACTCTATGCTAAAAGCTTTCTATAGATCAGCTGTGTGCTTTGAACTACCCTGTGGAGTTGGCACTATCATCATCCCCATGTTAAGAAGGAGAAAACTGACAGTCAGAGAGATCAAGCAAATTTCCCATGGCTACATAGCTGGTGTGTGATGGAGGTGGGACCGCTTCCTATTACCTGCTACCTCATCCTGCACACTCCAGTGCACAAATCTCTGATGTCCAGGGTGGGACTCCAGATCTCAGGCCTTTCTCTCATTCTCTGCACATCACGAAAGTTTCCAATATTACTGTGTGAGCAGAGAGAGAGGGAAGGAAGGAAGGAAGGCCCAGTAGGGGCAATGAAACTTCCCTCCAGCCTACTGCAGTCAGACTTAACCTGAACTAAAGAAAATAAGTAAGTGTGATGTTTCTTGCGCACCTGAATTGTGGCTGCAAAGTTTCGCGTAGTGTGTTTCCTTTAATCTTATTCAAGCCTCAAAAGAGCTGTCTCCATTTTACCAATGAGGAAAGTGAAGCTCTGAGAAATTCAGAGACTTGTTCAAAGTCATGGAGATGGAAAGTGGCAGAGGCACTGTTGGATCCTAAGCTCACCGACCAGACATCAAGCCTGTTTAGACTTTTTCAAGGAGCTAGCAGGGAGGCAGACAGGGGCACAGTCATCCATACGGCAGTGTGGTGAGAGTGAGCCCTGGATAGACACCTGTGAGGACAGGAGCAGCTGAGGATTATTATTATGAGACAGGTTTTTAATTATTATTATTATGAGACAGCTTCCTGGAGGAAGTGGCTTTAAGCTGGGTGTTCAAAGATGAGTAGGAAAGAGCCAGGAGAAAAAAGCACTGAAGAAAGCATCAGGTGCAAAGGCCCAGAGTTGATAGAGAAGTGGGAGGTTCTCTCAACAGCCGGTAGCTCAGACAAGGCGGGAAAGAAACTGGCTGAGGAAGTCTTCTGTATCCACTGCTGACCACTGACCCAGCCCACCAGCCAGAGCCCCTAGATAGCAGCAGCACCAGCTGGGGCCTCACCCAGCTTTGCCCTTAGAGACGATGCAGTTAGATGGTTGGGAAACTTTGCGCGCGGTCAGCTCTCAGGAGTCTCCGTCCCCAGGCTTTGGCTCCCTTCCCTTCCTCCATTCAAGCATTGCTCAGGGCTGAGCTGGGCCAAATGAAATCACAATGCTGGCTGGCCCTGGCTCCTCCTGATGGCCCCCTGATTTATGTCACAGCATTCCCAATATGCCTTATTGCCAAACTGGGCCAACTCATAGCATTTACTTTAGTGCTTTTCAAAGTTCAACATGCATTCAAATCACTGGGGATGGTGTTAAGATGCAGATCTTGATCTGGCAGGTCCAGGATGCAGCCTGACATTCTGTATTTTTATCAGGACCTCACGTGATGCTGCTGTTGCTGGTCCGCGGACCACACTTTAACTAACATCATCTTGGCAACTATTTGTGGAGCCCCTGTGGTGTGACAGGCACTGTGCTGGCTACTTTTTATACGTTTTCTAATGTAATCATTACAGTCACCCTCTGAAATTGAACTTTTTGTTTTTACTTTTCAGAATAGGAAACTGAGGGTCAGAAAGATATTTCACAATGTTAGTGAATGGCAGAGTTGGGCTTTGAACTTGGATCTGTCTGACTCTAGAACTCATACTGGGCCTCCTCTTCAGAGGGCCTGCTACAGACTGAATTTTCTCCCCTCTAAATTCTTATATTAAAGCCCTAATCCCCCATGTGGTTGTATTTGGAGTAAAGAAGTAATTAAGTTTCAATGAGGCCACAAGGGTGAAACCCCGATCCCACAGCATTAGTGTCTTTAGGAGAAGAGGCACTAGAGAGCTTGCTCGCTCACTGTCATGTGAGGACACAGAGAGAAGGCAGCCGTCTGTAAGCCAGGAAGACAGCCCTCACCAGGAGGTGAGCTGGCTGACATTTGATCTTGGACTTCCAGCGTCCAGGACTGGGAGAAATAACTCTGTTGTTTCAGCTACCCAGTCTGTGGTATTTTGTGATGGCAGCTAGAGCAGACTAAGACAGGGGCCCAGCTGCTTACCAGCCAGCCAAGGATGCCAATTAAAATGAATCCCGCCCCCTTTTTTGTGGAATGCTGCTCTACTCAACCTGAGCAGGACTGCAGAAGAACCAAAATACTACTACTACTAATCATAACTCACACCCAAGCTAAAGTTACCTGTACCCATTCACAAAATGAAAGCACAACAAAGCAACTCAGAACAATGGAGCCACCCAAAGCTTCACACCCTAAATCCAAGCATGTTTCATGAGGAGACAGGAAGTGGCATAACAATCAGATATAGTCTGCTCATTTGCTGCACGTACTTAGAGGGCTGAGTCTGCATCCTTGTGGAGTGAACAGGTATAATTAATAAGCAAATCCTAAAGGTTAGCCAAGCCCTGTGTAGCTGGGAATCAATGGAAAGCATGAGTCTGAATGATCCTCCTAAAGAAAAACCTAAATGCTGAATAAAATATTAAACAAGGGCGGGCGCGGTGGCTCACGCCTCTAATCCCAGCACTTTGGGAGGCCAAGGAGGGCAGATCATGAGGTCAGGAGATTGAGACCATCCTGGCTAACGTGGTGAAACCTCGTCTCTACTAAAAAAATACAAAAAAATTAGCTGGGCCTGGTGGCGGGCGCCTGTAGTCCCAGCTACTCAGGAGGCTGAGGCAGGAGAACGGCCTGAACCCGGGAGATGGAGCTTGCAGTGAGCCAAGATCGCGCCACTGCACTCCAGCCTGGGCGACAGAGCAAGACTCCGTCTCAAAAAAAAAAAAAAAACAAAAAAAAAATTAAATAAAATATATTTTCAGGTATATCGTCAGTGAACTGAGGTATATCCTCTTAGGTATATCCTTGTGAACTGACACAAACATAAGTAATCCATAGACCCCAAAACTGAGGATTAAGGAGACTTGAAACTGGCTGGTACTCTGAGGGTTTCTGCAGGATCCTGGAGATTTTAGCTTGCACTCTGATGGCTGCCCCAGATGGGAGGTCAGGAGATAAGTCTTAGGGTCCACCCCACGATGTGGCAAAAAAAGCATGCATATATACACACATAAATTGTACAGATATAAAGGATGTATAGCACATAATTTACAAATAATAACGATAAAATATATAATACTCTTTGTTGTAAATTCCATATAGACAACTGATTATTATAACATACTTTTGCTGATTTTTGCCAAACTCTTGTATCCATAGCCAACCTATTTTTTTTGTTCTCAATGTTTGCTTTTATTTACTTATTTATTAATTATTTTTATAAGTTTATGGGGTACAAGTACAATTTTGTTACATGCATCAATTGCGTAGTGGTGAAGTCTGGGTTTTTTGTGTATCTATCACCCAACTAATGTCCATTATACCCATTAAGTAATCTCTTGTCATCCACCCCCTTCAAACCCCTCAGCATTCTGAGTCTCCATTGTCTATCACTCCACACTCTACATCCATGTGTACACATTATTTAGCTCCCACTTATAAGTCAGAACATGTGATATTTACCTGTGTCTCAATTGTTTCACTTAAGATAATGCCCTCCAGTTCTATCCATGTTGCTGCAAATGATTTCACTATTTTTCATGGCTGAATAGCATTCCAATATGTATGTCTACCACATTTTCTTTATCCAGTCATTCGTTAATGGACACTTAGATAGATTCCATATCTTTGCTATCATAAATAGTGCTGGGATAAACATATAAGTGCAGGTATCTTTTTAATGTCTTTTCCTTTGGGTAGAAGCCCAGTAGTGGGATTGCTGGATTAAATGTAGTTCTATTTTTAGTTCCTTGAGAAATCTTCATACTGTTTTCCATAGAGGTTGTACTAATATGCATTCTCACCAACAATGTAAGAGTTCCCTTTTCTTCACATTCTCAACAACATCTGTTATTTTTTTGTCTCTTTAGTAATAGCCTTTCTGACCGGTGTAAGATGACAGCCCATTGTGGTTTTAATTTGCATTCCTCTGGTGACTGCTGATGTTGAACATTTTTTCATATCCATAGCCAACCTATTGTTGCAATTCACCATAACTCTAACAGGAATGTTGGTTGATGCTTATGATAAGGATAAAGACAAAATGAGATGACAATGACGTATGTGTATTAGTCTGTTTTCATGCTGCTGATAAAGACCTACCCAAGACTGGGAAGAAAAAGAGGTTTAATGGACTTACTATTCCACATGGCTGGGGAGGCCTCACAATTGTGGTGGGAGGCCTCACAATTGTGGTAGAAGGCAAGGAGGAGCAAGTCACATCTTACATGGATGGCAGCAGGCAAAGAGAGCTTGTGCAGAGAAACTCTCAGTTTTAAAACCATCTGATCTTGTGAGACCTATTCACTATCACAAAAACAGTATGGGAAAGACCTGCCCCCATGATTCAATTATGTCCCACCTGGTCCCTCCCACAACACGTGGGAATTATGGGAGCTATAAGATGAGATTTTGACATACGTCCCATCAATACCTAATTTATTGAGCATTTTCAGCATGAAGGGCTGCTGAATTTTGTCAAAGGCCTTTTCTGCATCTATTGAGATAATCATGTGGTTTTTGTCTTTGATTCTGTTTTTATGGTGGATTACGTTAATTGATTTGCGTACGTTGAACCAGCCTTGCATCCCAGGGATGAAGCCCACTTGATCATGGTGGATAAGCTTTTTGATGTGCTGCTGGATTTGGTTTGCCAGTATTTTATTGAGGATTTTTGCATCAATGTTCATCAGGGATATTGGTCTAAAATTCTCTTTTTTTGTTGTGTCTCTGCCAGGCTTTAGTATCAGGATGATGCTGGCCTCATAAAATGAGTTAGGGAGGATTCCCTCTTTTTCTATTGATTGGAATAGTTTCAGAAGGAATGGTATCAGCTCCTCCTTGTACCTCTGGTAGAATTCGGCTGTGAATCCATCTGGTCCTGGACTTTTTTTGGTTGGTAAGCTATTAGTTATTGCCTCAATTTCAGAGCCTGTTATTGGTCTATTCAGAGATTCAACTTCTTCCTGGTTTAGTCTTGGGAGGGTGTATGTGTCAAGGAATTTATCCATTTCTTCTAGATTTTCTAGTTTATTTGCATAGAGGTGTTTATAGTATTCTCTGATGGTAGTTTGTATTTCTGCGGGATTGGTGGTGATCTCCCTTTTATCATTTTTTATTGCGTCTATTTGATTCTTCTCTCTTTTCTTCTTTGTTAGTCTTGCTAGCGGTCTATCAATTTTGTTGATCTTTTCAAAAAAACAGCTCCTGGATTCATTGATTTTTTGAAGAGTTTTTTGTGTCTCTATCTCCTTCAGTTCTGCTCTGATCTTAGTTATTTCTTGCCTTCTGCTAGCTTTTGAATGCATTTGCTCTTGCTTCTCTAGTTCTTTTAATTGTGATGTTAGGGTGTTAATTTTAGATCTTTCCTGCTTTCTCTTGTGGGCATTTAGTGCTATAAATTTCCCTCTACACACTGCTTTAAATGTGTCCCAGAGATTCTGGTATGTTGTGTCTTTGTTCTCATTGGTTTCAAAGAACATCTTTATTTCTGCCTTCATTTTGTTATGTACCCAGTAGTCATTCAGGAGCAGGTTGTTCAGTTTCCATGTAGTTGAGTGGTTTTCAGTGAGTTTCTTAATCCTGAGTTCTAGTTTGATTGCACTGTGGTCTGAGAGACAGTTTGTTATAATTTCTTTCTTTTACATTTGCTGAGGAATGCTTTACTTCCAACTATGTGGTCAATTTTGGAATAAGTGCGATGTGGTGCTGAGAAGAATGTATATTCTGTTGATTTGGGGTGGAGAGTTCTGTAGATGTCTATTAGGTCCGCTTGGTGCAGAGCTGAGTTCAATTCCTAGATATCCTTGTTAACTTTCTGTCTCGTGGATCTGTCTAATGTTGATAGTGGGGTGTTAACGTCTCCCATTATTATTGTGTGGGAGTCTAAGTCTCTTTGTAGGTCTCTAACGACTTGCTTTATGAATCTGGGTGCTCCTGTATTGGGTGCATATATATTTAGGATAGTTAGCTCTTCTTGTTGAATTGCTCCTTTTACCATTATGTAATGGCCTTGTCTCTTTTGATCTTTGTTGGTTTGATAAGAGCTATTTATGACAAACCCACAGCCAATATCATACTGAATGGGCAAAAACTGGAAGCATTCCCTTTGAAAACTGGCAGAAGACAGGGATGCCCTCTCTCACCACTCCTATTCAACATAGTGTTGGAAGTTCTGGCCAGGGCAATCAGGCAGGAGAAAGAAATAAAGGGTATTCAATTAGGAAAAGAGGAAGTCAAATTGTCCCTGTTTGCAGTTGACATGATTGTATATCTAGAAAACCCCATTATTTCAGCCCCAAATCTCCTTAAGCTGATAGGCAACTTCAGCAAAGTCTCAGGATACAACATCAATGTGCAAAAATCACAAGCATTCTTATACACCAATAACAGGCAAACAGCCAAATAATGAGTGGACTCCCATTCACAATTGCTTCAAAGAGAATAAAATACCTAGGAATGTAATCCCAGCTACTCGGGAGGCTGAGGCAGGAGAATCACTTGAATGCGGGAGATGGAGGTTGCAGTGAGCCAAGGTCATGCCACTGCACTCCAGCCTGGGTGACAGAGTGAGGCCCTGTCTCAAAAAACAAACAAACAAAAAACAACAACAAAAAGAAAAACCCAAACAAACAAACAAAGCTATTTTGGAGATGACTGGATAAATTTGAATGGACTGGACATTAGACAGTATTTAGGAATTATTATTAATTTAATTAAGTGTGATAGTAATATTGGGTTATTTAGGAGAGTGTTCTTTCTTAAAAGAGATACATGCTGAAGTACTTAATAGTCTAGTGTTTATTTTAAGATAGTTCAGCAAAAAAATATATAAATGTAATAAATATGGCAAAACATTAAATTGCTTGAATTTAGGTCGCAAGAATTTAGGTCACAATCCTTTTCTATATATTGTATGTTTGAAATTTTCTATAATTGAAAAAAGATTTTTGGGCCGGGCGCAGTGACTCATGCCTGTAATTCCAGCACTTTGGGAGGCTGAGGTGGGCAAATCACCTGAGGTCAGGAGTTCGAGACCAGCCTGGCCAATATGGTGAAACCTCATCTCTACTAAAAATACAAAAATGAGCCATGCATGGTGGTGAGGGCCTGTAATCCCAGCTACTTGGCAGGCTGAGGCAGGAGAATTGCTTGAACCCAGGAGGCGGAAGTTGTAATGAACCGAGATCACGTCACTGAACTCCAGCCTGGGTGACAGAGTGAGAGTCTGTCTCAAAAAAAAAAAAAAAAAAAAAAAAAAAAAAGAAAGAAAAAGAAAAAAAAAAAGATTTTTCAACAGGGAATGATTTAAATTAGTTGGCTTTTTGTGTGTGTGCAAATGACCAGGTAAGAAATATTTTAAGCTTCATGGGTGATATAGATCTCTGTCACATATTATTTGGTTTTCTTTACAATGCTTTACAAATTTAAAAAACATTCTTAGCTCAAAGACCATATAAAAAAAGGCCAGGTATGGTGGCTCACACCTGTAAGCCAAGCACTTTGGGAGGACAAAACAGGTAGATGACTTGAGCCCAGGAGTTTGAGACCATCCTGGGTCAACATGGTGAAACTCAACCTCTACAAAAAGCACAAAAATTATCTGAGCATGGTGGCACATGCCTGTAGTCCCAGCTACTCAGAAGGCTGAGAGGTGGGAGGATAGCTTGAGCCCAGGAGGTCAAGGCTGCAATGAGCTGTGATTGTGCCACTGCACTCCAGCCTGGGTGATAAAGACCATGTCTCAAAACAAACAAAAAAACCTAAAAGCAAGCTATGGGCCAGATTTGGCTCATAAGATATGATTTGCCAACCTGTTTCAAATTTAAGATTAGATATAGTAGAAGAAAGAATTAGTGAATTGAAAATACGGAGCTGAAGAAAATACAACAAATACAGCCCAGAAAGACAGTGAGATGAAAAATATTAAAAAGAGGATAAAAAATATTAAGAGATACAGTGAAAAGTCTCAACTATATAAAATAATGGTTTCAATGGGAAATAAGTAATGAAATAGGAAAAAGGTAATATGCAGAGATGATGGCTGAGAATGTTCTAGAATTGTTGAAAGATACTAATCCTCAAATTCAGGAAGTTCAGTGAATCCTAGGCAGGATAAACAAAAAGAAATCCAAACTCAGGTACCTCACAGCAAAACTATAACACAAACACAAGAGTCAGAGAGATAGAATCCAAAAAGCAGCTGGAGAGAAACACAGGTCACCTGCAAATAAATAGCAATTAGACTGATGGCTAATTTCTCAGCAGCAACAACTGAAACCAGAAGAGAGCAGAATACTATCTTTGCTGTCCTAAGAGAAAACAGCTGTCAAGATTCCATATCTTTCAAGAATGGTGAAATAAAATCATTTTCAGACAAACACAAACAGAGTGTGCTACCAAAAAAATTATTACTAAAGAAAATTTAAAGAATGTACTTCAGGTATCCCAGATGGAAGAACTGAGATAGAAAAATAAATGGGGCTGGGAAAGTGGCTCACACTTGTCGTCCCAACATTTTGGGAGGCCAAGGCAGGAGGATCACTTGAGCCCAAGAGTTCGAGACCAGCCTAGGCAACAAGGCGAGACCCAGTCTCTACAAAAAATTTTTTTTTTTTTTTTTTTTTTTTTTTGAGACGGAGTCTCGCTCTGTCGCCCAGGCTGGAGTGCAGTGGCGGGATCTCGGCTCACTGCAAGCTCCGCCTCCCGGGTTCACGCCATTCTCCTGCCTCAGCCTCCCGAGTAGCTGGGACTACAGGCGCCCGCCACTACGCCCGGCTAATTTTTACAAAAAATTTTTAAGACTTAGCTGAGCATAGTGTTGCACACCTATAGTCCCAGGAACTTAGGAGGCTGAGGTGGGAGGGTTGCCTGAGCCTTGGGAGGTGGAGGCTGCAGTGAGCCATGTTTGTACCATGCACTCCAGCCTGGGTGACAGAGTGGGAGAAGAAAGAAAAAGATAGAAAGGAAAGAAGGAAGGAAGGGAGTGAGGGAGGGGGGAGGGAAGGAGGGAGGGAGAGTGGGAAAGAAGGATGGAGGGAAGGAAGGAAGGAAAGAAAGAGAAAGGAAGAGAAAGAGAAGGAGAGGAAGGAAGGAAAGGAAGAAAGAGAAAGAAGGAAAGGAAAGGAAAAGGAAAAGGAAAAGGAAAAGGAAAAGGGAAAAAGGGAAAAGGAAAGGAAGAAGGAAGGAAGGAAGGAAAGAAGGAGAAAAAGAAACGGTGAGCAAAGATGTTGGCAAATATGTGAACAAGATTAAGTTTATATTGTCCTTACAAAAATATTAAATACGCTGAAATCTGTGTGTGTGACATGGGAAATAAGCTCAAATGCTGTGGGAGAATACCATATAAGTCAGGGAAGTGTGATTGGAATTAAAGCATTCCAAGGTTCCTATATTATTTGGGAGGAATGTACAGATATTGATTGACTTTTGGCTTCATTATGTTAGGTATGCATGTTAAAGCTAGGGACAGAAGGTAGAATAGTAGTCACCAGGGATTGGGGAAGGAGAGTTACTTCTTAATGGGTACTGAGTTTCAGTTTGGGATGATGAAAAAGTTCTGGAGATGGATAGTGGTGACAATTGCACAGCAATGTGAGTGTATTTAACAACACTGAATTAAACTCTCAAAAATGGTTAAAATTGTGACTTTTGTGTTATATATATTTTACCACAATAAAAAAATAAAGAGCTAGGATAACCGCTAAAAAGACCAGACATAAACCATATAAATCCCAAACAAGTAGGATGGTTGGGGGAATGAAATAAAAAGTTTTTAAAAATGAAAAGAAAACAAGAAAGGAGGTAAAGTTGAGAGGCAGGCACAGCTAACAGCGTAACGTTTAGGGAAGCATATATAGTGGTTCACAGATAGAGAAAATCAGAGAAATGAGTGACCCAGAATTCAGAAGAGTCATGCGGGACTGGGCGTGGTGGCTCACACCTGTAATCCCAGCACTTTGGGAGGCTGAGGTGGGCAAATCACCTGAGGTCAGGAGTTCGAGACCAGCCTGGCCAACATAGTAACTGAAACCCCGTCTCTACTAAAAATACAAAAATTAGCAAGGCACGGTGGCGCGCCTGTAGTCCGGGAGGCTGAGACAGAAGAATCACTTGAACCTGGGAGGCGGAGGTTGCAGTGAGGCAAGATCGTGCCACTGCACTCCAGCACAGGTGACTGAGCGAGACTCTGTCTCAAAAAACAAAACAAAACAAAAAAAGAATGGTGAGGAGGGAGGGGTGTGGAATCACGGAAGGGGGACACACAGTGGCTTCTAGGGCACTGGCAACTTCATTTTTAAAGCTGGATGGTGAGTATATAGGTACTCATTCTATTATTTTTCTTTAAAACTGTTCAGTTTTTAATATATTTTGTATGTATGAAATATATAATTACACTCATAACTTTCTTAAGAAAGAAAAACATAATTGTAAAGAAGGTGTTAAAATTAAACTATCCAAAGGACTAGGGGTGAGCAATGCAGGGCACCGGCTTCAGCGCTGACGTCTGCAGCTGAAGGATGATTTAAACCAAGCCTGTTTTGTTCTCTCCCCTTTGGTTCTCCCTGAATAGGTATAGTGTCTTCTCTATTTTCTTATCCTTTAGTGCCTTCTTTATGGTTAAGGTAGGGCTGTCACAAGCCTCCCTTCCTGGTTTGTTTTGTCTTCTTCTATTTTTTCATGACTTTTGTGACACCCAACAGGTGGCTAACATCCTGCAGGTATTAGTTCAAGGTTAGCACTGTCTGGTGACCTCTGCTTTACCTTGACCTTCAGAGGTTTGACAGTCTTCTCACAGGATTAGCAGAGTTACGTGGCTTGGAGCCACTCCATCTTCCTGGTATTTGTTACATAGAATATAACTCTCGCGTGTGGATAATGGACAATGGGGAAGACACGATACAGCTAATAATTACAATGAATACTCATTTATTCTGCGTAAACACTCTCCATGCATAATCTCATTTAATCCTCACAGCAACACCATGAGCTGAGTAGTACTCTCATTCTTGATTAACACATAAACAAACTGAGTCTCAGCTGGGCGTGGTGGCTCACTCCTATAATCCCAGCACTTTGGGAGCTGAGGAGGGTGGATCATGAGGTCAGGAGTTCAAGACCAGCCTGGCCAAGATGGTAAAACCCTGTCTCTACTAAAAATACAAAAATTAGCCAGGCATGGTGGCGGGCGCCTGTAATCCCAGCTACTCGGGAGGCTGAGGCAGAGAATTGCTTGAACCTGGGAGACGGAGGTTGCAGTGAGCTGAGATCACGCCACTGCACTCCAGCCTGGGCCACAGAGCAAGACTCCATCTCAAAAAAAAAAAAAAAAAAAGAAAGAAACTGAGTCTCAAAGAGGTTAAGTGAACTGTACACCTGGTCACAGGAGAGCCGAGCCATCTCACTAAGATGTCAGGTTCCTTGCACGCCTCTGGCTGCTTGTCTAGGCAACTGAACACCCAGAGGGCCATTGCAAACCCTTGAAAATACTGAGAAAAGATTTGTCTCGTGTTCACAGAAAGTCCAGAGAAATGTCCTCATCCTCCAAGACCTTCTCAGAGTGAAAAGCTCACCTGGGAACTATGATACAATTCTATAAACTCACTCTCCACTTTGCCTCTTACCCTTATGAGTAATTAGGCAATTGGGAGCATGGGAATGAGATGGTGTAAATTTGGGCAAGTCACTTAACTTCTCTACCTCATTAAATGGAGATAATGGTACTTACCTCATGGAGTTATTATGAAAATGAAATGTTAATGTATGTGTAGTTCTTAGAACAGTGCTTGGCATACAGTCATCACTATATGTTGGCTGTCATTATTAGTAGTAAATTATTATTAATCTGCAGTCTAAGTGGCCCCAGTGACTCAGCTCCTGACTTTTGGATGGTTGGGTTGCTGGGTCGTCTCCACGTGATCCTTGGGGATTAAGCTCCATGATCAAATCCCAGAGGAAGGCAGGAAGGTGGGCAGACCCAGGTGGTTAAGAAGGAGATTGGGGTGGGTGAGCTGAAAATGCAACTGAGTCAGGGCAGTGGAAGTCTTCCTCTTTCCACTCACTGCGTGCTGTGAGTAGCCCCTGGGCTGATGAAAGGGGGCTCTGAGGTGGATGTTTCTTCCCGATTGGTACCAGTACAGATGAGTCAGAGAGCCTCGTTTAGACCAGGCGCTGTGGCTCATGCTAGTAATCCCAGCACTTTGGGAAGCCAAAGAGGACATTTTTTATTCATAAATTTTTAAAAAATGAGAGAAAACAGTGTTTAGACATGGCTGCTATATATCACGTGGCTAATTGATTTGGCTAACTCCAATGTATTCTTTCTCAACACCAGAATTTGTGGTGTGGCCTTCTTCTTTCGTTTTTCTCTGGGAGTCTTGGGGATCAAACGATCAAAGGAACATAGAGTCCCAAGACCAAGGTAATATTAATCCATTAAGCTCTGGGAGCATTGTGAAAGAAGTATTCATCACAGGAGATTCTTGAGTTTCAAAAGGACCCAAAGGGAACAGCTCATAGTGGCTTGGAAGAAGTTCAGTTCTCATTTGCCCTATCTGATTAGCAAGACTAACTCTTCCTTGTCAAGAAACATGAATCAAATGCTTAATGTCAAGGTAGACAAGACAAGGCTCTTTTTTTTTTTTTTTTTCCCATTTGAGACAGAATATCGCTTTGTCGCCCAGGCTGAAGTGCAGTGGTGCAATCCTGGCTCACTGCCACCTCCGGCTCCCGGGTTCAAGTGATTCTTGTGCCTCAGCCTCCCAAGTAGCTGAGACCACGCCCGGCTAATTTTTGTATTTTTTTTTTTGTAGAAACGGGTTTTGCTATGTTGGCCAGGCTAGTCTTGAACTCCTGACCTCAAGTGATCCACCTGCCTCGGCCACCCAAAGTGCTGGGATTACAGGCGTGAGCCACTGCACCCAGCCAAGACAAGGCTCCTTTTGGAGATTTCACTAAGACGACAACAGCTTCCTCTCTCTGCACCTTCCCAGCTGATGCCTTCTCAGCACCCTGGGGCTCCACATCTCAGTGGGGGCTGACTCTCAGAATGACCAGGTCTGGGGGAAGTAGAGAGCTTGGCTTCCAGGCTATGTTATCTCCTTCATTCTTCACAGTAAGAGGCCTAGAGAGATTAAGTGGCAAATCACTCAGAGTTTTTGGCTGCAAACAACAGAACCCACTCTGGCAAGTTAAGCAGAAAAGGCTTTTTTGTGCCTCTTGAGGAATCTCTGTGAAGGCAGAGGTCAGGCTTGACAGCTGTGACAAGGCAGAGCCACTATGAGGAAACAACTCTGCTGCCCATAGGCCACGCTGCCCCTCATGTAGTGGATGCAGGGCTCCACATGCCACCACGCAACCCTGCCACAGCTGCCTTCGAAGTCTGAGTGCTTCTGCCACCACCCTGTCAAAACCACTCTCACTTCCCAACTCCTAGGCTCCAAGGTTGCATCTGATTGGTGGAGAGCAGGTCACATGTCTGTGCCCTAGCTGCAAAGGAAGCTGGGGAAGTAAGTTTCCAGTTCCTACTCCTGGGAGGCACAGACTCAAAATGTGAAGGACACCCTAAAAGAAGAAGAGTGTGCATGAGCAGCCAAGAATAATGATAAATGTTCACATATATCAGCGACCTAAAATCACATGACTGAGACACACCACAGAGCCAACCACACTACCCTGAGAAATGCCTCTGGGTACTGACCTGCTGCCTGGGACAGAACCCACCTGCATCGCCTCAGGTTCTCATTCAGCCGCAGGAGTCATCAGCATAAAGCTGGTCCCTCCTTCTTACCAGGGCCCTTCCTTCTCCACGTATCCTGGAAGCAATGGCTTCATTGTTGCTTTTATGTTTTATTGGGCCTTTTTAGGCAAACTGAGTGAAGCGGGCAGAGGAGAACTGCTGGGGACCAGAGGAGACCTGAAGGAGCAGCCACTGCTCAGGGCCAGATGTTTCCATTTGAAAATATGGGCCCAACAGCCAGGTACTCTGATTTTTCCAGAGAAGCCAGGCATCTGGCCAGGCATTCTCTATATGACATCTCCAGATTTTTTAATGTTTGAGCAAATTTGCCATTGAGCAAATACTATTATTTTTAAAAATGTTTTAATATGAAAAACTTCAAACATATAGAAAAATACAGTGAATACTATAGTGAATACCCATCATCCAAATATACTCATTACTCAAATTTAACAGTTTTAACATTTTGCCATATTTTTTCATCTATTTTTTTCTGCTTAAGTTTTTAAAGTGACAACATCAAAGGAGCTATTAAAATGTTTTCATCCTTAAATACTTCAGTAGGCATCTTTTCAAAGCTACCATAACACTTAAAAAATCAACATATTTCTTATTATCATCTAATACCTTGTTCTTACACAAATTTCTTTTACTACCCTAAAAATGATTTTTTTAGATGGTTTATTCAAAGCAGCCTCCAACTGTGGACCAAGAATTGGATTCGGTTATCATGTAACTTATGTGTCTTTAATCTCAAGGAATCCCCACTGGTTTTGTTTTGTGGTGTGTGTGTGTGTGTGTGTGTGTGTGTGTTTTAACATTGATTTGAAGAACCCACGCCGGTGTCCAGTTGAATTGTTCTGTCTATGTATCTGACTCTTTCCTTGTGGTGTCACTTAATATGTTCCATATCCCTTGCATTTCCTACAAACTGGAAGTTAGATTTAAAGTCTTGATTGATCTCAGGTTAATATTTTGGGAAGAATATATCCCAGGTGATGTGGACTGCCTAATCCATCGCCTTGGAAAGCACAGGATGTCATCCTACTAGCAGTAATGCTAAGATGGTGGACACAATTCCCTCCAGTGTAACTGTATTTTCTTCCTTAGACCAGTCATTTTCCCCCTAGAAACTTTTTACCTGATGGTTTTAACATCCACTGATACTACTTGCCTGAATCAATTACTTCATTAGGATTAGGGATTGCAAGATGGTGTTTTTCTTCCTCCTTCTCCTTCTCCTCCTCCTTCTCCTCCTCCTCCTTCTTTTTTTTGAGACAGGGTCTCACTCTCGTCCAGGCTGGAGTGTGGTGGTTCAATCACAGCTCACTGCAACCTCAAACTCCTGGCCTCAAGCAATCCTCCTGCCTCAGCCTCCCAAGTAGCTGGGATTACAGGCACATACCACCACGCCTGGCTAAATGTTTAAAATTTTGGTAGAGACAGGGTCTCACTATGTTGCCCAGGCTGGTCTCAAACTCCTGGGCTCAAGCAATCCTTCTGCTTAGGCCTCCCAAAGTGCTGGGATTACAGGTGTGAGCCCCCATATCCAGCCTATAATCTATTTTTAAAATTGATTAAAATTGATATAATCTATTTTTTAAATGTTATGTAGTTCCTGACAATGTTTATTTGTGGTATGTTCCCACTGGGAAAAAAGCATTGTCAGGAACTACATAACAGGTTCATAGAGGTTAACTCTGGGTGATGATTTTAATTTATTCAATTTGCTTATGCATATTTCCTAAATTTTCTGTGATAAGCAAGTATTAGCTTTTAGTAAAAAATATAGGTATATGTGTATGGTTATATATACGTATGTGTATGTGTATGTGTGTATGAATGTAATCAGGATAAACACACAAGGACACTCAATGAATAAACATAACAGCTAAGGAAAAAAGAACTGGGCTGCCCCAGGACTACACCCATGAGGTCAGAGATGCTCAGATGAGAGGACGCTAGGCCTGTAGGTGCCTGTGGGGACAATGTCACCTACTCAGCACCTCTGACTTGTGCAGTGTTCCCTGTCATCTTCAAATGGAATGTGTCTATGCTAAGAACCAACAATGCTGACCACACTTCCTACACCACTCAGTTCTCACACTAATTGCACTAATTGCCCATCCCAACTGGCCATTAGCTGAATGAATCAAATTATCTTCATATTTGACTTGAAGTCTTTCCAAGCCAACCCTGTCTCCACCTCAACCCCTGCCAGTATGGCAAGAGCAGCTCAGGCTGGACCCAGGCCACTCTCGGGTTAAATGCACAGTCACCCAACTTGGCAGTAAAAGTCAGTGGGCCGGGGACAGGGTGGTACAGGCAGTTACCTGGGAGGGTCCCCTTGGCCTGATGCTTGGTCCCCAGCCCTGGCTTTATGGACACCATCCCAGCTCTGTTCCCCCTACTTCCCCAGAGGCTTGGATAAAAGGCTTTCCTCTCCCACCCTCCATCAGCTCCAAACCAAAGTCAGCGTCTGCACAGGTGCCTGCTGGGGTGAATGTGGGGCTTCTAGGCTTGAGTCTTCTTCGGCTGCCAGCACTTGGGGAATGCTGACAAATTTGTCCTCCAAAGGCTACATCTTTGGGATCCATGCCTTTCCCTTTTTCTTCTCCTTTCACAATTTTTCCTCCCCAGTGAAAACCGAAATGCAATTCTTTCAGTTCTCTCCTCATTCAAAATCTTCTCTTTCAAAATCTTTCCCAGCCTACAGAGAATAAAGATAAAGCCCAGACTCCTGAGCTGGGCAGTTACAGAACCACAACACACCCATAGCACAGCTTCCCACCCTTATCTCCCACTCTGCCTCATGTGAATGCCTCTGCTCAACTCAGCTTCCCATCTCCTTGCTTCTGTCCATACTGCTCTTTCTGCTTGGAACACCCTCCCACAATGAAACTTACAAAAATCCCAAGTCCTGTCTATACTTCAAAGCTCTGCTCAAACCTCACCTGTCCTTGAGGCATTGCTGCACGTTCCTTGTCCCTTCATTAAAGTGCTCACCTCTGTCTGCTTTGTGTTATGATCAGTTGTGTCTGTGTCTGTTGCCCCTACTAGACAATAAACTGTCAGAGTCATGGTTCTCCACCAAAGTATCTTCCCCACGGATGAGTTTGAGATAATTTTTTTTTTTTTTTTGAGACGGAGTCTCGCTCTGTCGCCCAGGCTGGAGTGCAGTGGCACAATCTCTGCTCACTGCAAGCTCCGTCTCCCGGGTTCAAGCAATTTTCCTGCCTCAGCCTCCCGAGTAGCTGGTACTACAGGCGCCCGCCACCATGCCTGGTTAATTTTTTGTATTTTTAGTAGAGACGGGGTTTCACCGTGTTAGCCAGGATGGTCTCGATCTTCTGAGCTCGTGATCCACCTGCCTCAGCCTCCCAAAGTGCTGGGATTACAGGCGTAAGCCACCGCGCCGGGCCGAGTTTGAGATAATTTTAAGGTGTAGCATGAGTAATTTGTTACACAAAGTTGACTTAAAATCTACCACTTAGGCTGGGTGTGGTGGCTCATGCCTGTAATCCCAGCACTTTGGGAGGCCAAGGTGGGCGGATCACCTGAGGTTGGGAGTTCAAGACCAGCCTGACCAACATGGAGAAACCCTGTCTCTACTAAAAATACAAAATTAGCCAGGCATGGTGGTGCATGCCTGTAATCCCAGCTACCTGGGAGGTTGAGGCAGGAGAATTGCTTGAATCTGGGAGGCGGAGGTTGCAGTGAGCTGAGATCGTGCCATTGCACTCCAGCCTGGGCAACAAGGGGGAAACTCCATCTCAAACAAACAAACAAACCTACCACTTACTATCGAGTGACCTTGAACAAGTTATGTGACCTCTCTGAACTTCAGTTTCTCACCCCTGAAAGGTTGTGAAGATTAAATGAGACTGGGTGCAGGGGCTCACACCTGTAATCCTGGCACTTTGGTAGGCCAAGATGAGAGGATTGCTTCAGGCCAAGAGTTTGAGACCAGCCTGGGCAATATAGCAAGACTCCATCTCTACAAAAAAAATACAAAAAATTAGTCAGATGTGGTGATGCACACCTGTTGTCCCAGCTACTTGGGAGCTTGGGAGGCTAAGGCAGGAGGGTCAGTTGAGCCCGGGAGTTTGAGGTTGAAGTGAGCTATGATTATGCCACTGCACTTTAGCCCAGGCAACAGAATGAGACACTGTTTCTAAACAAAAATATATATATATCCATTCTCTCTTGTTTCCTTACTAACAGAAGCCTGATATTTTTAAAGATGACAATGTATCCAGACAAAATACTCAGCTTTCTAGACTCCTTTGCAGCTACATGGCCATGTGACATAGTTCTGCTAAGTAGAAATGTTCTAGAAATTTCTGGGACAGCTTTTGCTTTCTTTTCTTTTTCTATTTATTTATTTTTGAGACAGGGTCTCTCTCTCTCTCTCTCACCTAGGCTGGAGTGCCGTGGCACAAACACAGCTCACTGTAGCCTTGACCTCTTGGGCTCAAGGGATACTCTTGCCACAGACTCCCAGGTAGCTGAGACCACAGGTGCATGCCATAATGCCTGGCTATTTTTTTATTGTTTGTAGAGAGGGGATATCACTTTGTTGCCCAGGCTGGTCTCAAACTCCTGGGCTCAAGTGATCCTTCCGCCTTGGCCTCCCAAAGGCTGGGGTTGCAGGCTTGAGCTACTGCACCCGGTCAACTTTTTGGTTTCTTAATACAGGTGTCACCACTTCCTCCTTCTTCTCTTTCCTCCTTACTTTTGCCTTCTTCCTGTCTAGAGCACAGACATGAAGCTGGAGGTGAAGTAGTCACTTAGTGACCACACAGAGGGTAAAGCCAAATGGCAAGGACCCTGGAATGGAAAGACAGTGGCCTGAAACATTCAGGACATTGTGGAAATGCTGCTCCCACACTGGATCGCCTTCCTTCAAACCTCTTGCTAAGCGAAAAAAATAAACTTGGAATTGGTAAAGCCACTGTTGATGTTTATTTACATAAAGTTGGGTGTTTCCATAAGTGTATAGAAAGTCTAGGTAAGATTCTTGGCTGATGTTGGAGTGACTGCATAGGGGCATGAAGGCTGGTTAGGTGGGTAAGGGAGGATGAAAGGGACCAAGATGAGGCCAGAGGGCAGAGGTGGAGGCAGCCCCGAGATACTGCCACCAGGTCCTGCTGCCTGGACAGGAGGATTGGGTTTTTTTGTTTTTTGTTTTTGAGATGGAGCTTCGCCCTTGTTTCCCAGGCTGGAGTGCAATGGTGCGATCTTGGCTCACTGCAACCTCCGCTCATAAGCAATTCTCCTGCCTCAGCCTCCCAAGTAGCTGGGACTACAGGCCCACACCACCACGCCCAGCTAATTTTTGTATTTTTAGTAGAGGCAGGGTTTCACCATGTTGGCCAAGATGGTCTCAAACTCCTGGCCTCAAGTGATTCACCCACCTCAGTCTCCCAAAGTGCTGGGATTACAGGCGTGAGTCACTGCACCTGGCCGAGGTTTGGGTTTTATACCTGGAGGAATTTTTCTCCAAGCAATTCATCTTGTTGTTTAAATAGGATAATGTGGAGTTGCTCATTGGCATGTAAAGTTACTAATAATATAATTTTAAGTTTAAAAAGTCAAATTATGAAATAATAAACATACTATGCTCCCATTTTAAAAGAATAGCTACATACACAGATATATACGTCAAAATGTTAATAGCAGTAGAATTCTGGATGATATTTGTAACTGTGTCATCTGAAATTTTTAAATAATAGCATTTACTTGATTTCTTATTTTCTGATTTAAAAAATATTTCTATTTTGAAAATAATCAAGTAGACTATAAGATGCCTTTTTTCCCCACTTGAACAATTAATTCGGGCATACAGTATTCCACTGGACAATAGTAGAAACAAACTAGATTTCTGGTCTTGAGTTCCTGAGCCCAAGTGATCCTCCTGCCTCAGCCTCCCAAAGTGCTGGAATTACAGGCGTGAGCCACTGTGCCAGGCTCAACCTGAATTTCTGAATGCAAATCAAAATATTGGAATATATTCATCTTGATGCTATTTCTGAATAAAGAGGGCCTCTAACAAAATGATGACCAGGATACCCTCATTTCTGTATAAAATTTATTATTTTACTTTTATGTCCATAGGCAGCCCTTCTCAAACAATCCTGTCTAAATATGGCTTACATGTACAAGCTAGAGATGAAGGAGCTTGGGGGCACAGCCAGGGACTTGAGGGGAAGCAATTTCTACCTTTACGGAAATGAGGATGCCGTCACTAAAGGAAAAGGATGAATGCTGTGCATTATGACAGTAAGTGTCCACTGTGGTGATAGTGACCAAGTCATCTAATGCCTTTCTCCACCTTAGTCTCCTCAGATGTTAAAAACAACCACAATGCACCTCATAATATTATTCTAACAATTACATGAGATAATGAATGCAAAGCTCCTCAAATCTTTTTTTTCCAAAGTGCCTGTTATGGTTGAATGGTGTCCCCCTGAGAAGCTCAAGTCCTAACCCACAGTACTCATAAATGAGACCTTATTTGGAAATAGTCTCTACCTGTAGAGGTGACCTCTATAGAAGTAATCAAATTAAAATGAGGTCATCAGGGTGGGTTCTACTCCAATATGACTGGTGTCCTTACGAAAAGGGGAATTTGAAAAAGACACACATGCATATGTTCATTGCAGTACTATTCACAAAAGCAAAGACATGGAATCAACCCAGATGCCCATCAATTATAGACTGGATAAAGAAAATGTGGTACATATTCACCATGGAATACTATGCAGCCCTGAAAAGGAATGAGATCATATCCTTTGCAGGGACACAGATGGAGCTAGGAGCTGTTATCCTTAGCAAACTAATGCAGGAACAGAAAGCCAAACACCACATAATCACAATTCTAAGTGAGAGCTGAATGATGAGAACACATGGACACATGGGTTGCAGGGAACAACACACTCAGGCCTGTTGGTAGGGATGGGGGAAGGAGAGCGTCAGGAAGAATAGCTAATGGATGCTCACTTAATCCCTAGGTGATGGGTTGATCTGTGCAGCGAACCACCACGGCACATGTTTACCTGTGTAACAAATCTGCACATGTACCCCAGAACTTAAAATAAAAGTTGAAGAAAAAAAAGGGTGGGAGGCTGGGCGCAGTGGCTCACCCCTGTAATCCCAGCACTTTGGGAGGCTGAGGCAGGCAGATCACCTGAGGTCAGGAGTTCAAGACCAGCCTGACCAATATGATGAAACCCTGTCTCTATTAAACATACAAAAATCAGCCAGGCGTGCTGGCATGCGCTGTAATCGCAGCTACTCGAGGGGCTGAGACAGGAGAATCACTTGAACCCGGGAGGCAGAGGTTGCAGTGAGCCGAGATCGCGCCATTGCACTCCAGCCTGGGCAACAAGAGTGAAACTCTGTCTCAAAAAAAAAAAAAAAAGTGGGAATTTGACACAGAGACAGAAGACATGCAGAGAGGGAAGAGGATGTGAAGACACACAGGGAGAAGCTGGCCATGGGGCTGAAGCAATGCATCTACAGGCCAAGAAACACTAGGAGGGCCAGCAACAGAATCTAGAAAAGGCAGGGAGAGAGTCTCTCCTGTACCATTGGGTGAGCATGGCCCTGCCAACACTGATTTCATGTCTAGCCTCTAGACTTGTGAGAGGATAAATTGCTGCTGTTTTAGGCCACTTAGTCTTGGGGACTTTGTTAAGGCAGTTCAGGGAAACTAATACAGTGGCCCTAGGAACAAGAGAGAGTGAGGATAACTCTCAGGGGTCGAAGGGCATGCCCCAAGCAGTCCACAAGGAACACAGTGTTTCTTTGAAGTTCATTGTCTGAAACCCTTGTTGCATTCAATTCAGGAAGGCAGTAGTTCCACTTTTTATGGTATGAAACGATGAGTCAGAAGAGTTAGTCCACCAAGGGGCAGACTCCAGTCACAGGGGTTTTCTTTTCTTCTCTTTATCCTCTGCCTAAGACAATACTCAAGATATTCACATAATAACCACTCTGGTTTTTCAGCTTCTACGGATACAATAGTGTCTTTCAAATGTCTGAATAGTCCAGCGGGTGTGGTGGTGTGCACTTATAGTCCCATCTACTTCAGAGACTGAGGCAGGATGATTGCTTGAGCCCAGGAGTTTGAGACTAGCCTGGGCGATATAGCAATACCCTGTTTCTAAAAACCAAAACCAAAACAAAACAAAAAACAACAACAAGAAAAACTCTGAAGAGTCTAGATCTCTACTTATTTCATCTCAATCTTAGGATGTGGACACAGAATTTTGCGTGCCAACCTTCAGCCATGTTGCTCACATTAACGCAGCTGCTTTAAAGGGGAGAGGTGATCTGACCTATTTTATTACTTTTCCTTAGGCAGAAACTATGGGCCTTAGTGACATACAAATAACCAACCATAACTTGGTTACAGCTTTCAGACAAGTACAGTGGGCAGCCCTCTTGAGTCTGTTAAAACAGCAAACAGGTAGAATTTCTGGCCACAGAGAGAGAGAGACAGACCACATATCAGGCACAGTTTGCTAGCTCATTTGTTTCCCAAGAGAAAGAAAGGAAAAAAAATCAGTAATGGTACGTAACTGTGGGGAACAGCAGGTGCTTTAGGCCAAACTTATTGAAGGGTCTGCTGAAACACTCTTGTTCTAGCACGGAAGTCACATAAATTTTACGTGCTACTCCATGATATAGCAATGTATCTTTTCTCAGCATTTTTAAATAGAAAATTTTAAACATAATGATTTTACAGTCAAAATTCCTACACCCATCACCCAGATTGTACTATTAATTTTTACTACATTTGCTACGTCTCATCTCTATCCATCCATCAATCCACTTTATTTTTTATGGATCCAAAAATCTATTGCAGACATCGACACCCTTTCCCCTAATTACTTCAGCATGCCTTTCATTAACTAGGGTTCAGTATTGTTTAATTTATTATTATTATTTTTTTTTGATACGGAGTCTTGCTCTGTTGCCCAGGCTACAGTGCAATGGCATGATTTCAGCTGACTGTAACCTCTGCCTCTCGGGTTCAAGCAGTTATCCTGCCTCAGCCTCTTGAGCAGCTGGGATTACAGGTGCACGCCACCACACCTGGCTAATTTTTGTATTTTCAGTAGAGACGGGGTTTCACCGTTGGCCAGGCTGGTCTCGAACTCCTGACCTCATGATCCGCCCACCTCGGCCTCCCAAAGTGCTGGGATTATAGGTGTGAGCCACCTCGGCCAGCCTTGTTTAATTTTTTGAGGTGAAATTCATAAGCAAAAAAATGCAGCATCTTAAGTGAAACTTTTCCAAATTTTGACAAATGAATAAACCGGTGCAACCCAATCCCTACCAAGATATAGAGCAGTACCTAACCCCATTACCATTCCCTCCTGCCTCTTCCTAGTCAATCCCTGCCCCACCTACCAGACAAAGCCACTCTTGTAATTCTTTTCCTCCATAGGTTAGATTTGTCTGTTCTGGAACTTTATATAAATTGAATTATATCGAACATTTTCTTTTGTGTAAGGCTTCCTTCACTAAACGTAATGATTTTGAGAGTCACCTATGTTACCACATGTATCTGTAGTTTGATCTTTTTTATTCTGAGTAGTATTTCATTGTGTGACTCTAGCACTGTTACCCATTTTCCTATTATTGATGCACATCTAGGCTGTTTCCAGTTTGGGGCTATTATGAATAAGGTTGCTATAAACATTCTTGTACACGAAATATACTCCCAATGTTGTGCGATCATCACCACCGTCCAACCCATATCATAGTTTCATCTCAGGAAACACTTTTCATTTGACCCTACACTTTTGAAGAATGAATTCAAAATGGATCCTCCAGCCCTTTACTCCTAAACCACTTGGCAGCCCTAGAATTCACAGTGTGATAGAAATCTTTGCTCATGCTCCCATTAGCTGGTCCAGGTCTCACTGGTTTAGCCCAGCTCAGGGTTGTGAAACTGCAGGTCCACAGTCCTGAAGGGGATGGTGTGGCTTCCTAGGAGGGTGGGGCCTCAGCTGTAGCCCTCCCCTCTGCTCTGGCCAAGGCTCTATTAGGAAGGTTGCAATCCTGCTCGCTCCCCGAAACTCAAACTGAGGTCTCCATTCCTTCTCATTCCTTCACCCGGGACCTCACAGCTCCCCTGAACCTCTATAAGCCCCTCTGAGTATTGTGTTTGTGGTGAGGGGAATTTGAGCTCCTTCCTCAAAAGTGAGGCTAACCCCCATTGAGGGGAGCCAGAGGCTGATGGCCATCAGGGTGTGGCCTGCTCCCACCCTGGCTGCCACACTCTGGTTCTTTGCAGCGTAACTAGGATTCAGAGAAGGTGTTCGATTTTATACAGAGTTTCAGCCTGAGTCTGTGTTAGCCCCATCTCCTGACGGGCTCCCATGAGGAGACTGGGCGGCCTCCCCAGGGGACCTGCCTTTTGTCCTTGGGTTCCCGGATCGGTGAATGGACCCAGTGTTCCAGATCATTCTCACAGGTGAGGGGTTTCTGGGCTCTGTGCAGTCCTGATAAGACAGGCCTGGGCCGCAACTCACTGGCTGTAGCCACGGCTCAGCTCCCCTGGCTAGAAAAAGGAGGGCCAGTCCCACAACGGTCTGGGATTACACTGGCCTGTAGACACTGTTTGGCCAGGGAGTACTGCTGGGGTAGGAGGGGGTGGAGCATGAGGAAGAGCATAGGGTCCGAGGCCTCAGGCTAGCAGGGGTCAGATAGAGGACAGGGCACCTCTCTGACCACTTCTATACCCCAGTCCACCTCCACAGCCTCTCTGAACCACAGTCCTGGCCCCTGCCTCGCAGTCAGTAGAGGGACCACTTCATCAGCTGTGTGATGCCTAGCAACGTATCCTTTCTGAGCTATAAAAACGGAGACCTAAAAAAAGACTCATCCGGAAGAGTTTTTGGAGGATCAAATACAAACGCTCCTCAGCACAATGCCAGGGACTCAGAAAGTGTGTGGTCAACTTTATTTTCCTGTTGCTTTCTTCTCTATAACAGCTTTTCACAAATTGCTCTGGCTTTACAAAGGAAGCTAGGCAAGCTGGAAGATCCCAGAAACAGAAGGAACGCCGCTCCTGTCTCTTCATGCCCAGAAATACTGCCACAAATGGATGGCTTCCCCCAGAGACCACCAGGTACCACTGGAGTAGACCCTGGGCAGAGTGGATGCTGTAGAGAAAAATCCATGTCCCCAGGAGACCTGCCCCTTAGCTAGACCCACCAGGGACACATATTCATCGTGTGACTGTCAGCAAAACTTCACAGACCTGAGACCTCAAGACTCCCTGCCCAACTGCAGCAAGAGTGGTCCAGATCCCTCAGCTGCTTTTTCAAAGGAGGGGAAGGATATTTTTGTCATCATCACCCTCAAATAGAAACTAGAGTCTTAGAACAAGGGAGCCGTTTACTCACATGCCCAGACCCCTCCCCCAGTCCAGTTTAATTAGAATTTCTGGGGATGGGGCCAGCTTTGGGTATTTTCTTAATGTCCGTAGGTACTTCTAATGTGTAACTAGAGTTAAGAACAACTGGTCTAGTCCAACCTCCTCATTGTAGGGATAAAAACACACAGCGGGGAAAAACAGCCCTAGAAAGCTTAAAAGAAATAAAATATTTAAAGTGACAGACTATAGCGCAAAGTACGTGCCTAAAAGATGGACACTGTTATCATGTCATAATTAGAAATAGTGCCCCAGACATGGCTGGTTTCATGGTCATGTGACGTGTATCATGGCACAGGCTCGCATGCTTCGCAGGCACCTGTGCTTTGTTTCTTGCTCTGATGTTGCCATCTTGAAATTCTTAATTTTTAAACAAGAGGTCCTGCATTTTCACTTTGCACTGGCCACAGATCACACAACTCTTAAACACAGAGTAGATCATCACTGCATTAAAGAAAGGTGGCTCAGGGCCAACCCTGTCTCTTCATGCCCACAAATACTGCCACAAAGGGATGGCTTCCCCCAGAGACCACCAGGTACCACTGGAGTCCTAAGACTCTGTGCAGAATGGATGATGTAGAGGAAAATCCATGTCCCCAGGAGACCCGCCCCAGGGCTCAGGGCTCAGAGGCTGCAGGGTGTGGGGCAGGGAGGGCTGGGATGCAGCTTCCTCTGCGCATGTCCCCTAGCCTGGCTCTCTACCGCCACAACGCTGGGCCCTCCATTGCCCAAGGAACTCCCTTCTCCTCTCTACTGTATCAGGGCAGAGGCTGTCCTTGCATCTCCTGGGGGAAGCAGTGTAGACTACTGGAAAGAGACTGGGATCAGTCAGGCCCGGGTCATAACTTCAGCACTCCCTCTTACTGGCTATGAGAGGTCCTCTGAGCCTCAGTTCCTCATGTGTAAAAGGGAGGAAATAGCCCGGGTGTGGTGGCTCACACCTGTAATCCCAGCACTTTGGGAGGCCGAGGCGGGCGGATCACCTGAGGTCGGGAGTTCGAGACCAGCCTGACCAACATGGAGAAACCCCCGTCTCTACTAAAAATACAAAATTAGCCGGGCGTGGTGGCACATGCCTGTAATCCCAGCTGCTCGGGAGGCTGAGGCAGGAGAATCACTTGAACCCAGGAGGCGGAGGTTGTGGTGAGCCGAGATCGTGCCATTGCACTTCAGTCTGGGCAACAAGAGTGAAACTCCATCTCAAAAAGAAAAAAAAGAAGAAGAAGAAATAATGCCCGCCTTGCAGAACCACTATGAGGAGAACCCAGCACATCATGACTGTCCCACCAGATGCTGGAAATATGTGAATTCTCTTCCCTTTACAGGGAAGAGGGAGAAGCATCTTTCTCCAAAAGAATGGGGCCCCAGTGTTCCAGGTGCAGCCTGTCAGTCACCCAGAGTCCTTTGTCTCCCTGGGAGGCTCAACTACAATCAGTTCCCAGGCTTCTGCTTGTCTTATGAAAACTAAGGATAGGCAGTTCTTGGGAAAGGTTTAATTCCGGAGTGGCATGCAGGCTTCAGAGCCCTTTGTAAAGAGTTGTTGCTGCTGCCCTCTAGTGGTAACTTGTCGGTATCTGCACAAATTCCCAACTTCCTTTGGGTAAGTAATGAATACTTAATAACATACTACAACACAATTTAAAAAATAATGTATTGAGTCCCTACTCTGTTAAGAACTAGGGATATGAAGACAAATAAAACGCAGTTCTTTCATTCTAAGAATTTACAGTTTAGAAAATGCGGCAAACTCTTAAAGAGGTTGCTTGAATATAACCCAATATGATAAGGTTTTTTTCTTTTTTTTGCCCAAAGGAGATAAGTTTTGTGTTTTTTTATTATTATTTTTTAGTCTGTAAGACACAATCTTTATTCTTTTTTTATTATTATACTTTAAGTTCTAGGGTACATGTGCACAACGTGCAGCTTTGTTACATATGTATACATGTGCCATGTTGGTGTGCTGCACCCATTAACTCATCATTTACATTAGGTATATCTCCTAATGCTATCCCTCTCCCCTCCCCCCACCCCACAACAGGCCCCATCCTGTGTCCAAGTAATGTCCAATGTAATGTTCCCCACCCTGTGTCCAAGTGTTCTCATTGTTCAATTCCCATCTATGAGTGAGAACATGCGGTGTTTGGTTTTCTGTCCTTGCGATAGTTTGCTCAGAATGATGGTTTCCAGCTTCATCCATGTCCCCACAAAGGACATGAACTCATCCTTTTTTATGGCTGCATAGTATTCCATGGTGTATATGTGCCACATTTTCTTAATCCAGCCTATCATTGATGGACATTTGGGTTGATTCCAGGTCTTTGCTATTGTGAATAGTGCCTCAATAAACATACGTGTGCATGTGGCTTTATAGCAGCATGATTTATAATCCTTTGGGTATATACCCAGTAATGGGATGGCTGGGTCAAATGGTATTTCTAGTTTTAGATCCTTGAGGAATCGCCACACTGTCTTCCAAATTGGTTGAACTAGTTTACAGTCCCACCAACAGTGTAAAAGTGTTCCTATTTCTCCACATCCTCTCCAGCACCTGTTGTTTCCTGACTTTTTAGTGATTGCCATTCTAACTGGTGTGAGATGGTGTCTCATTGTGGTTTTGATTTGCATTTCTCTGACGGCCAGTGATGATGAGCATTTTTTCATGTGTCTGTTGGCTGCATAAATGTCTTCTTTTGAGAAGTGTCTGTTCATATCCTCTGCCCACTTTTTGATGGGGTTGTTTGATTTTTTCTTGTAAATTTGTTCAAGTTCTTTGTAGATTCTGGATATTAGCCCTTTGTCAGATGGGTAGATTGTAAAAATTTTCTCCCATTCTGTAGGTTGCCTGTTCACTCTGATGGTAGTTTCTTTTGCTGTGCAGAGCCTCTTTAGTTTAATTAGATCCTATTTGTCAATTTTAGCTTTTGTTGCCATTGCTTTTGGTGTTTTAGACATGAAGTCCTTGCCCATGCCTATGTCCTGAATGGTATTGCCTAGGTTTTCTTCTAGGGTTTTTATGGTTTTAGGTCTAACATTTAAGTCTTTAATCCATCTTGAATTAATTTTTGTATAAGGTGTAAGGAAGGGATCCAGTTTCAGCTTTCTCCATATGGCTAGCCTTCTCCATATGGCTAGCCAGTTTTCCCAGCACCATTTATTAAATAGGGAATCCTTTCCCCATTTCTTGTTTTTGTCAGGTTTGTCAAAGATCAGATGGTTGTAGATGTGCGGTATTATTTCTGAGGGCTCTGTTCTGTTCCATTGGTCTATATCTCTGTTTTGGTACCAGTACCAGTACCCTGCTGTTTTGGTTACTGTAGCCTTGTAATACAGTTTGAAGTCAGGTAGCATGATGCCTCCAGCTTTGTTCTTTTGGCTTAGGATTGCCTTGGCAATGCGGGCTCTTTTTTGGTTCCATATGAACTTTAAAGTAGTTTTTTCCAATTCTGTGAAGAAAGTCATTGGTAGCTTGATGGGGATGGCATTGAATCTATAAATTATCTTGGGCAGTATAGCAATTTTCACGATATTGATTCTTCCTATCCATGAGCATGGAATGCTCTTCCAGGAGATAAGTGTTAATAAGAACAATGATTCCCACAGCTTCTGGTTCTACACAAAATGGAGTAGACACATTTATTCCTATTCTTCCCATTATGTAAAGCTAAAAACTCTTGAATATCATATATAATAAACATAAGAAGACTCTGAAAGGTTGAGGGGAAAGGAGACTGGCTGGGGAACTTGGGACCCAGGGAAAGACACAGCGGGAGTTCTCTGAGTTTTCTTTTTCTTTTCTTTTTTTGAGGCAGGGTCTCATTCTTTTGTCCAGGCTGGAGTGCAGTGGTGTAATCATGGCTCGCTATAGCCTCAACTTTCTGGACTCAAGCAATTCTCCCACCTCAGCCTACCCAGGAGCTGGGACCACAGGCATGTGCCACCATAACCAGCTAATACATTTTAATTTTTATGTATGTATGTATTTCTTTATTTTTTGAGATGTAGTTTCGCTCTTGTTGCCCAGGCTAGAGTGCAATGGCACATGATCTTGGCTCATTGCAGCCTCTGCCTCCTGGGTTCAAGCAATTATCCTGCCTCAGCCTCCTGAGTGGCTGAGATCACAGGGGCCTGCCACCACGCCTGGCTAATTTTTTATATAGTTTTTTAGAGATACAGGGTTTCACCATGTTGCCCAGGCTGGTCTCAAACTCTTGACCTCAGGTGATCCACCTGCCTCGGCTTCCCAAAGTGCTGGGACTTCAGGCGCGAGCCACGGTGCCCATTTTTTTTGTAGTGATGAGGTCTCACTATGTTGCCTAGGATGGTCTCGAACTTCTGGGCTCAAGCGCTCCTCCCACCTCAGCCTCCCAAAGTGCTGAGATTCAGGTGTGAGCCATGACACCCAGCCTCTGGGTTTTAATTTTGCCTTAATTGTATCTTAACTGGATCCTGGAGAAGCTGACAACTTAATACAACAATGGACACAGACAAGAGAAGCCCCAAGAAGGGCTGCTCTCTAGTCAAGCGACCAGGAAAGGAGCAGCCTAGCAAGACAGAAACTTTTAGCCAATAATCACTCTAGTGCAGCCAAACTCCACAGAGTAAACAAATGGTGGAAAAGCTGAGTGGGAGCCTGGACTTCCACCCTCGCACAGCTGTAAAGAGGCGGCCCCTTCTTCTGCCAGGGTGGTGTCAGAGAAGCCTAAGTGGAAGGCTGGCACTTTTATCTCCATTCAGTGGCAATGAGGCCCAGCCCCTGCAAAGTCAGTGGAGGCCACTTGGGGAACCACATCCATCCAAAGGTTAGGATGCTCTCTCCCTCCCTGCTGGGACAGTGGCAGAGGAGGCCTGGTGGAGAGCCAGGACTTTCACCAAAACCAAGTGAGAACGAGGCACCCCTCTTCCTCCCTGCCTGGAGGTGGTCAGAGAAGGCCGAGTGGGAAGCTGGAACTCCCTCCATCTCTCTGTGGTAAGGAGGTTCCCCTACCCATGGTGTCAGTGGAAGCCCCATGGGGCCAGGCAGAAGTGGCACAATATTTTCGAATATTGTTTTGAGAACTGTTTTGTGTCTAGAAGTTTTATGTGAAGAATTCTACATCCAGTGAAAATATCCTTCAGGAATAAAGGAAAAATTAAGACATTCTCTACTGAAGGAAAGCTAAGAGAGTTCATCACCCCCAGATACCTACTTCCTAAAAGAATGGTTAAAAGGGCCGAGCGCGGTGCCTCATGCCTGTAATCCCAGCACTTTGGGAGGCAGTGACGGGTGGATCACTTGAGGTCAGGAGTTCAAAAATAGCCTGACCAACATGGTGAAACCCCGTCTCTACTAAAAATACAGAAATAAGCTTGGCGTGGTGGCACACGCCTGTAATCCCAGCTACTCAGGAGGCTGAGGCAGGAGAATCGCTTGAACACGGGAAGCGGAGGTTACGGTGAGCCCAGATTGCACCATTGCTCTCTAGCCTGGGCAACAAGAGCGAAACTCCATCTCAAAAGAAAAGAAAAAGAAAAAGAATGGTTAAAAGAAGACTTTACAACAGAAAGGAAATAATGAAAGAAGGAATCTTAGAACATCAGGAAAGAAGAAAGAACAATGGGGAGAGTAAAACTATAGTCAATACAATAAGCTTTCATTCTCTTCTTGAGTATTCTAAATGTTTGATGGTTGAAGCAAAAATTGCAATATTGCCTAATGTGGTTATCAATATTCGTAAAGGAAATATTTAAGACAATTATAAGTGGGAGAGGATAAAGAGACTTAAAAGGAAGCAAGCATTCTTTCTTTCTTTCTTTCTCTCTCTCTTTGTTTTCTCTTGAGACAGAGTCTTGCTCTGTTGCCCAGGCTGGAGTACAGTGGTGTGATCTCAGCTCACTGCAAGCTCCGCCTCCCGGGCTCAAGTGATTCTCCTGTCTCAGCCTCCTGAGTAGTTGAGACTACAGGCATGCACCACCACACCCGGCTAATTTTTATATTTTTAGTAAAGATAGGGGTTTCACCATGTTGGCCAAGCTGGTTTCCAACTCCTGACCTCAAATGCTCCACCTGCCTCAGCCTCCCAAAGTGCTAGGATTACAGACATGAGCCACCGCACCTGGCCAAAAGGAGGCACGCTTTCTATACTTTACTATACTTCACCAGGAGACCATGGTAAGTTATATGTACATAATGAATACTTAGATAAAATACTAAAAGAAAACTATACAAAAGAAATACGTTTAAAAACACAATTGATAAATCAAAATGGATTTTTTTTTTAAAGTTCAAGTAACCTGGAGGTAAGCAAGTGGTAAAAAAAGAGAAAAAAAATCAGAAAAACAAACAATAAAATGGCAGACTTAAGCCCTAATGAATCAATAATTACCTTAAATGTAAATAGTTTAAATATATCAGAAGACAGATTGGGAGAAAGGATTTAAAAAAAATATATGACACAATATGTCATTTACAAGAAACTCATCTCAGATATAATAATATATGTAAGTTGACAGTAAAAAGATGAAAAAAGACTCAAACATCTTAATTAATTCTAAGTTAACAAAGTATAGCTACGTTAATAACAGATAAAGTACTTCAAAGCAAATCACCAGGTCTAGAAATGGATACTGCAGAATGATAAAGGGTCAATCTACCAAGAATACAAAGATACACACAATTCTAAATTCGTATGCACCAAACAACAGAGCTGTACAAATATATGAAGCAAAACTGATAGAGCTGAAAGGAGAAACAGACAAATCCACAATTATAGTTGGAGACTTCAACATTTCTCTCAACAATTGATAGAACAGCTATATAGAAAATCAAAATATAGGCCGGGAGTGGTGGCTCATGCCTGTAATCCCAGCACTTTGGGAGACCGAGGCAGGCAGATTATTTGAGGTCAGGAGTTGGAGACCAGCCTGGCCAACATGGTGAAACCCCATCTCTACTAAAAATACAAAATTTAGCCAGGTGTGGTGGCAGGCACCTGTAATCCCAGCTACTCGGGAGGCTGAGGTGGGAGAATTGCTTGAACCTAGGAGGCGGAGGTTGCAGTGAGCCGAGACTGCGCCACTGCACTCCAGCCTGGGTGACAGAGCAAGACTCCATCTCAAAAAAAAAAAAAAAAAAAACTCAAAATCAAAATATAGAAGAACTCAAAAACACCAGTAACCAACAGGATCTAATTGACATTTATAGAAGAACACTCCACCTCACAGCAGCAGAATACACGTTCTTTTCAAGCACCCATGGAACATTATACCAAGATACACCATATCCTGGGCCATAAAATGAACCTCGATAAATTTTTAAAAAACTGAAATCATACAGCATATATTCACCAACCACAATGGAATAAAACCAGAAATCATTAACAGAAAGATAACAGGGAAATCTCCAAACACTTGAAAACTAAATACACTTCTAAACAATCCTAGGGTCAAAAGAGGAACTCTCAAGGGAAATTTTTTAAATGGAACTGCATGAAAATGAAAATATAATGTGTGAAAATTTGTGAGACACAACTAAAGCAGTGCTAAGAAGAAAATGCATGGCACTAAACTCATACATTAGACAGGAGGAAAAATCGGGGGCTAGGCGTGGTGGCTGACACCTGTAATCCTAGCACTTTGGGAGGCTGAGGTGGGCAGATCACTTGAGCTCAGAGATTTGAGACCAGCCTGGGCAACATAATGAAACCCCATCTCTACAAAAAAATAGAAAAAAATTAGCTGAGCGTGGTGGCACAAGCCTGTAATTTCAGCTATTCAGGAGGCTGAAGCACAAGAATCGCCTGAGCCCGGAAGGCAGAGGTTGCAGAGAGCAGAGATCACACCACTACACTCCAGCCTAGGCAACAGAGCCAGAACCTGTCTCAAAAATAAGATAAAATAAAATAAATAAAAAGAAAGGAGGAAAATATATATACATATGTGTATGTGTGTATATATATATATACATTTTCCTCCTTTATATGTGTGTGTGTGTATATATATTTATAAAATATATATATATATAAAATACTATATACGATTGTTTTAAAAAAGAAATATTTTGTAACCCCAGCACTTTGGGAGGCCGAGGTGGGAGGATCACGAGGTCAGGAGATTGAGACCATCCTGGCTAACATGGTGAAACCCAGTCTCTACTAAAAAATACAAAAAATTAGCCAGGCTTGGTGGCGTGCACCTGTAGTCCCAGCTACTCAGGAGGCTGAGGCAGGAGAATCGCTTGAACCCAGGAGGTGAAGGTTGCAGTGAGCCAAGATCACACCACTGCACTCCAGCCTGGGCACCAGAGCGAGACTCTGTCTCAAAAAAAAAAAAAGTATTTTAGATATAAATCTAGCAAAACATGTACGTAACTTGTATGTTGAAAACTACAAAACACTGAAAAAATATCCAAGAAGACCTAACTAAGTGAAGAGATACACATGTTCTCATACTGGGAGGATCATAGCAAAGATGTGAATTCTCCCCAGATTGATTTGTAAGTTTCAAGCACTTCCAGCAAGATTCTTTCTAGATATAGATAAGCTTATTCTAAAATTTATATAGAAAGACAAAGGAACTAGGATAGCTAAAACAATTTTGAACAACAACAAAGTAATAAAGTGCTAGGAATCATACTACCTGCTTTTAAGATTTATTATGCAGCTACAGTAATCAAGACTGTGTGGTACTAACAGAGAAACAGACACATAGGTTAGTGAACTAACATTAAAAACCTAGAAATAGACCATACAAATATGCTCAATTGATTTTTTTCTAGCTTGAAGATTTTTTATTATAATAAATACAGATAATATAAAGCTGACCATTTTAGCCATTGTATTTCTTTTTATTTTATTATATATACATATTTTTTCCTTTTTTTACACATAGGAATATTTTAACCATTTTACTTATTTTTATTTTTATTATTATTATTATTTTTCGAGACAGAGTCTCACTCTTGTTGCCCAGGCTAGAGTGCAGTGGCGCGATGTTGGCTCACTGCAACCTCCACCTCCCGGGTTCAAGCAATTCGCCTGCCTCAGCCTCCTGAGTAGCTGGGATTACAGGCGCCCAACACCATGCCTGGCTAATTTTTGTAGTTTTAGTAGAGACGGGGTTTCTCCATGTTGGCTAGGCTGGTCTCAACCTCCTGACCTCAGGTAATCCGCCCGCCTTTGCCTCCCAAAGTGCTGGGATTATAGGCATGAGCCACTGTGCCTGGTCTATCTTTTATTTTTATTTTTTTTGAGATGGAGTCTTGCTCTGTTGCCCAGGCTGAAGTGCAGCGGCATGATCTCGGCTCACTGCAACCTCCGCCTCCCGGGTTCAAGCAATTCTCCTGCCTCAGCCTTCTGAGTAGCTGGGACTGCAGGTGTGTGCCACCATATCCGGCTAATTTTTGTATTTTTAGTAGAAATGGGGTTACACCATGTTGTCCAGGCGGGTCTCAAACTCCTGACCTCAGGTGATCTGCCCACCTCAGCCTCCCAAAGTGCTGGGATTACAGGCATCAGCCACCACGCCTGGTCTGATTTTTTTTTTTTTTTTTTGAGATGGAGTTTTGCTCTTGTTGCCCAGGTTGGAGTGCAATGGCACGATCTCGGGTAACTACAACCTCCACCTCCTGGGTTCAAGTGATTCTCGTGCCTCAGCCTCCCTAGTAGCTGGGATTACAAGCATGAGCCACCATGCCCAGCTAATTATGTATTTTTAGTAGAGACAGGGTTTCTCCATGTTGGTCAGGCTGGTCTTGAACTCCCTACCTCAGGTGATCCGCCCACCTCAGCCTCCCAAAGTGCTGGGATTACAGGTGTGAGCCACCGGGTATCCATAACAAAAAGAGAGAGAGAGAGAGAGAAACTTGATCTATAATTAAAATTCAAAAGTTAAAAAGAAAAACAACGAACTCATGTTGTCAGCCAGCCCATATCTATCTCACATAGTTGGAACAAGGACTGGACATGTGCAATAAACACTATCATTTATAGGGTGGAAGAAGAGGAAGAACACTACACTCACTGGGCCACAGCATACCAAGATCCTGGCAGGGAGATATTTTGAGCTCCCTTGATCTAAGGGTAGTTTTTACCCCTGAAGAGGCCGGTTTCTGCTCTCTGACCATAGCTATCCATGCCAGATCCTCAGTTTTTCCTTATCTTGTCTGACTTCATTTGTAGGGCCATTAGGGGTTATGGCTTTCTGGGGGTCTTACCATCTATTACACCCTACGTGGGATTCTGGTGGTCCAAGTTCATTATTTTTATGCAAACAAAGACTCTTTTCCTCAGTTCAAGCTTTTATAGTTCTTTTTTTGTGTGTGAGTTTTCTAGTGTACACACACACTCACACACAGACCATTTAAAAATCTATTTGATTGCATTTAGCTCCAAGCGTAATTAAACCTCTCCTCAACTCATTCTGGCTATTCTTTCTTTTTTTTTTTTTTTTTTTTTTTTTTTTTTTTGAAAAGGGGTCTTGCTCTGTTGCCCAGGCTGGAATGCAGTGGCGCTATCTCGGCTCACTGCAAGCTCCGCCTCCTGGGTTCATGCCATTCTCCTGCCTCAGCCTCCCAATGGGACTACAGGCGCCCGCCACCACGCCCGGCTAATTTTTTGTATTTTTAGTAGAGACGGGGTTTCACCGTGTTAGCCAGGATAGTCTCAATCTCCTGACCTCGTGATCCGCCCGCCTCGGCCTCCCAAAGTGCTGGGATTACAGGCATGAGCCACCGTGCCCGGCCCATTCTCGCTATTCTTTCTTTTTCTCATCTTAATTAAAATATCTTGAGTTTACTAGTTGGCTGGGACACAACACTCGCCACCTCGCCACACTTGTTTTTTGTTTTTTTTTTTCTGGAGCAGTTTAGCCAACTGAAAACAATTTCAATCCAATCACTGATGTAAACCGAAGGTATGAGAGCCATAACCCAGGTTCGATTTTTGCTTTTTTACAAATATGCTTTTCAGGGGTAGAAATTCCATGCTATTAGGCTGTTCTTAAACTTTTCCATTAGAAAAATGCCATAGGAATGCAGAAAAGGGTGTGGTAATTCCGCCTGGGGAATTCAGGAAGAGCGAGAGAGAAGCTACAGCCAGGCCCCTCAACACAGCCAGGGCCTTTCTCATGGCTGCCTGGCCAACTCGCCTTCCACTCTCCGGAGAAGCTGCTTTAACCTTCTCCTCTTTCCCCCAACTCCTACTCCTCCAACTCCCCGCTCACTCAGTCTTGCCTCCTTCCTCAGAGAAAGTTAAAACTATCAGATGGGACACCCTCAAGCTCAGGTCATCCTCCTCATGTAGATTTTTAACCCCTTACAGCTCTGCATAGCCATAAGCTGACCCCATCTCCCACCCTTCCTCAGCCTTCCTAGTGTGTCTTCTGGAATTTGCAGTGCACCCCTACACAAACCCACTGTGCCCTCCGCCTTCACTCTGAATATTCCCTTCACCTTCTTGCCTTGCAGGAAAACTGGCTGATGCCTGCAGGCAACCCTTCCCCTATGGCCTCCTCAAATGAGGGCTATTTTCCCTCTCATGATCCTCATTCCAGTTGGCCTGAGATAGGGGTAGCTGTCCTCCCTTCCGGTCCTCCATAAACCCCCAGCCTTTTTGAAACAATTGACATTAGGCCACACCCTGCCTCTTTGTCACAGTCCTCTTCAGGTCTCTTCCTCATTCACTAAGTATTCTGGTCACGGCTAACTGTGTCTCTCTGCCACTGCCCCATCATCATTCTTCATACCTTCCTAGCACCCTGGGATCTGTGCAAACGATCCATCCAACACCTCAACTCCCAGCATGACAATCTCCCCCAATGTCCCAGCCTCCCTTGCAGCTAGGAGTAGCCATGTGACCCATTTCAGTCAAATGGGATGGAAGTCAAAATCTGAAAGGAGGGCTGGTTTCTATGAAAGCATTGCCTTCCAGGGTGTATGCAGCTTCCCTGGGTTAATGAGCCTGTGTAAACGGGAGAACAGCACAGTCATTGGCCCTGACACAACTGAACCAATGACCCTACACCAGCAGCCACCTATCTTCAATCTACTTCAGCCACTCTGGTCCAATTTCCTGCCTTCACAGCTGAAAGAATTCCTAATAATTTCTCATCAATACTGCCTGTCCCTGGGTCCCATCCTCAAGCCACTCACCCTCCTCTTTTCACCCCTGTTCCTGCCCAAATCCTAGTGTGTCTAAGGCTGCTAGTTATTCCTCAATATCCATTCTCCCCTTCTCTCTTTTGTAACAGAACCCTAAAATTGTCACAGAGCCGACCCCGGACCCAGCTACTGCACTGCCACAGTCCTCTTTCTCCCCAACGCTGTTTTTCTATCAGCAGCTTTTCATTTAATCTCTGTCATTTCCAACCAAGTACAAACACACTGCAACATCTCCTGCAATATTCTGATGTTAACAAAACATCAAACACCCTTTCCTAAACTCCTCATGTCCCCTAGCTACCACCTCATTTCTCAGCTCTCCTTTTTATATTAAAAAAAAAAAAAAAGCTCTGCTCAAGAGAGTGGCCTGTCCTCATTGCCTTCCTCTCCTCATACCCCCTCTGCCAGTGCCCTGATCCCTGGATGCCCGCCATTCCAGCAGAACTCCTCTTGTCAAAGCAATCTAGTGCCCGTCACCTTGCCCAACCCAACAGTCCATTCTCAGCCTTCATTTTATCCCACCTCACAGCAGCCTGTGGCAGAGGGAATCATGCCCTGTGTTCCTCCGCTGCTGCCTCCTTTAATCACGGAGAATTTTAACATGTACAGAAGGAGAGAGCATGAGGTTGGGCGTGGTGGCTCACACCTGTAATCCCAGCACTTTGGGAAGCTGAGGCCGGTGGATCACCTGAGGTCAGGAGTTCGAGACCAGCCTAGCCAACATGGCGAAACCCTGTCTCCACTAAAAATACAAAAGTTAGCTGGGCCTGGTGGCAGCGCCTGTAATCTCAGCTACCTACTCAGGAGTCTAAGGCAGGAAAATTGCTCCAACCCAGGAGGTGGAGGTTGCAGTGAGCCGAGATCTCGCCACGGCACTTCAGCCTGGGTGACAAGAGCAAAACTCTGTCTCAAAAAAAAAAAAAAAAAAAGGCAGGCACGGTGGCTCACGCCTGTAATCCCAGCACCTTGGGAGGCAGAGACGGGCGGATCATGAAGTCAGGAGATCAAGACGATCCTTGCTAACATGGTAAAACCTCTTCTCTACTAAAAATACAAAAAAATTCGCCAGGCATGGTGGCGCGCACCTGTAATCCCAGCTACTCGGGAGGCTGAGGCAGGAGAATCACTTGAATCCAGGAGGCAGAGGTTGCGGTGAGCCGAGATCGCACCACTGCACTCCAGCCTGGTGCCTGAGGGAGACTCTGTCTCAAAAAAAAAAAAAAAAAAAAAAAAAAAAGGAAGGAGAGGGCATGAAACAATGAGACTCACATACACACCACTCAGCCTAACCACCTCCAACCCACGGCCAGGGAAGTCCTGCCCAGACTCACCTCTGCATCTTCCCCTCCCTATTATTTGGAAGCAAATCCTACACATTATATCATTTTGTTGGTAAAATATTTCGGCATCTCTAAAAGATAACTTTTAAAAATGTAAACAACTCTCTCATTCTTTTTTTCCCAGCTTCATTTTTAATTTTTTCTATCTATTACTTATTTATAGTTTCAACTTTTATTTTAGATTCACAGGGTACATGTGCAGGTTTGTTACCTGGCTATATTGTGTGATGCTGACGTTTGGGGTACAATTGATCCCATCACCCAGATAGTGAGCACAGTACCCAACAGTTTTTCAACCCTTGCTCCCCTCATTCCTTCCCTGCTTTAGTAGTTCCCACTGTCTGGTATTGTCATCTTTATGTCCATAAGTATCCAGTGTTTAGCTTCACTTATAAGCGAGAGCCTGCGGTATTTGAGTTTCTGTTCCTGCATTAATCGACTTAAGATAATGGCCTCCAGCTGCATCCATGTTGCTATAAAGGACGTGATTTCATGCTTTTTATGGCTGCATAGTATTCCACTCCCTCATTCTTGAAACCCATTTTTCACTGGATTTACATTCACCAAATTCTCCTGATTTTACTGTTTTAGTCCTTTTGGGTTGCTTTAACAAGATACCATAAACTGAGTGGCTTATCAACAACAACATTTTTTTTTTCTCACAATCCAGAAACTGGAAGTCCAGGATCAAGGCACCAGCAGACTTGTTGTCTGGAGAGGGCCCACTTTCCAGTTTATAGACAGAGGTTTCTAGCTGTGTCCTTACATAGTGGGTGGAGCAAACGAGCTCCCTTAGGTCTATTTTTTTTTTTTTTGAGGCAGGGTCTTGCTCTGTTGCCCAGGCTGGAATGAGGTGGTGCAATCATGACTCACTGCCGTGACTTCCCGTGCTCAAGTGATCCATTTACCTCAGCCTCCAAAGTAGCTGGGACCACAGGCATGTGCCACCACTTCCAGCTAGTTTTTTTTTTTTTTTAATTTTTGCATAAATAGGGTCTTGCTCTGTTGTCTAGGCTGGCCTCCAAGTCCTAGGCTCAAGCAATCCTCCCACCTTGGCCTCCCAAAGTGCTAGGATTACAGGTGTGAGCCACCACACCTAGGGCCTATTGTAAGGGTACTAGTCCCATTCATGAGGGCTCTGCCCTTCAGACCCTATCACCTCCCACCTCCTAATACCATTACCTTGGTGATTAGGTTTCAACATATGAATTCTAGGGGACTACAAACATTCAGACCATAGCATCCTCCTATCCAAGTGGCCACTCCTCTTTCCAACCTCTCATCCAGGCTTGGGACTTTCAATGACAGCTAAGTACTCATCCCTTTCAAATTACCTCTGTGCCTCAATTTCTCCCCAGAGCTCCAGGTTCATTATCTTTTTTTTTTTTTTTTAGATGGACTCTTGCTCTGTCACCCAGGCTGGTGTGCAGTGGTGCAGTCTTGGCTCACTGCAACCTCCGCTGCCCAGGTTCAAGCGATTCTCATGCCTCAGCCACCCAAGCAGCTGGGATTACAGGCATGAGCCACCATGCCTGGCTAATTTTTATATTTTTAGTAAAGACAGGGTTTCACCATGTTGGCCAGGCTGGTCTCAAACTCCTGGCCTCAAGTGATCCACTGGCCTCAGCCTCCCAAAGTGTTGGGATTACAGACATGAGCCACTGTGCCTGGCCCAGTTCATATATCTAACTGCATACACACCTGGCATCTCCGCTTGGAGGTCCATTAGGTATCTTCAAGCTAACATGGGTTAACTAGAACCTTTGATATTCTGCACCCTCCTTCCCATCACTTCCTCACTGAGTCTTCTCCACCCTTCATTCCATTTTCAGCCCTAAGCCTAGAAGTCATTATTCTGTTCCACAATCTGTTTGCAAGTTATGTCACCTCCACATTCAAAATATTATATATCCAGAATTCAACAACGGTTCACCATATCCATCACTTGTACCAAGGCCACCATCATAAGCAGACCAGCGGTTTCCACATTTATTTGGTATTTTCCCTGATGAAGACAGAATTATACTTTATGTAATTTGAAATATATAGAAATAGAAGCTGACCCTGCACCCCTAATATATGTATATTTACTAACTGGCAAATTATATGCAGATACCTACTAATATGTATTATAAAACATAAAATAGAAATTTATAAAGGATGACATAAAGAGAAAATAGGCAGTTTTTAAATGTCTTACTAATTGTGATAGCTTCATATGATCATTTTACCTAACATCTCAAGGCACAATATACACTTAGGTAAGGTTTGTGATTAACTATAATAAAAACACGCATTTCAAGTAGGCTTTTTATTTATTCCACATTTCACTTGGACACAAGTGTAAGATTTGATCAAATTGTCTTTTTTAATCTCAAAGTGTGGCTAAAAAAGATCTCATACTAGGAAAACAAGAATGTCAGATCCACCATTTTCATGTGATTTGCTTGTGATTGTATTGTTAATATTAATAATACAACTTCCAACATACGACTTCTTAGCAGGAATCTTGTAAAGCCACTTTTTCTTTTTCTTTTTTTTTTTCTTCTTCTTCTTTTTTTTTTTTTTTTGAGATGGAGTTTCGCTCTTGTTGCCCAGGCTGGAGTGTAATGGTGCGATCTTGGCTCACCACAACCTCCGCCTCGCAAGTTCAAGCAATTCTCCTGCCTCAGTCTCCTGAGTAGCTGGGATTACAGGCATGCGCCACCACGCCCAGCTAATTTTGTATTTTTAGTAGAGATGGAGTTTCTCCATGTTGGTCAGGCTGGTCTCGAACTCCCAACCTCAGGTGATCCGCCTGCCTCAGCCTCCCAAAGTGCTGGAATTACAGGCGTGAGCCACCGCACCCGGCCACACTTGTTCATTTTTTGAGACTCGTTTTAGTTAAAACTCAATTGGATAATCCTTCAATCCATTTAATCAGATTAATGAAAAATGCAGTAGTCACAAAACACTGGTACCCAATGAATGAGTGCATTGTCAGATAAAAAATAAGAGAAACGGAAGTTCAATATTTTCTTCCTGCACCCAGTGGGTTGATTGCCTTGGGCACTTCTTTGTGTGTTAGCTCTTCCCTTTGGAAAACAGTCCCCAACATGGTCTGCAGCATGTCCTCACAGGTCTCACTGCTTCATTCTTGCCCCTACATATTCAATTTTCCACCTAGTAGCCAGAGCGCTCTTCTCCAAACACAAATCATATCAAGTCCCTCCCGTCCTCAAAACCTTCCCCTGGCTTCCTAACATTCTCAGTAGAATATCCAAGCTACCTCTGTGGTCTCCAGAGCCTCTCACTGGCCCCACTGCCTCCCTGGCCTTTCTCTCATCCCACCACCTGCTCACCACCACCCAGCCCCACTGCCCCACTGCCCTCCTTCCATTCCTCAAACTCTCTATGTTCCTTCCTGTCTGGGTGTTTCAAAGATGCCCCAATCACTTTTCCTCCCTGCTCTTTCCTGTCCCTATCTCACCCGCCATTGTTAAACTCCTGCTTACCCCTAAAATCTCAGTTTAAATCTCACTGCGTTAGGTTGTTGCTTATCCCTTAACACCTCAAGGCACAATATACATTTCAGTAAGGTTTGTGATGCAATATGTCACAAAATGCAATATGTGAATACATTAAAGTTTAAACAAAAATCTTAACCAGCTCACCCATTGTAGTCCCTTATCCTATGCTTCACTTTCCCCTTAAAATTCTTTTCAGACCGGGTGGTGGCTCATGCCTGTAATCCCAGCACTTTGGGAGGCTGAGGTGGGTGGATCACCTGAGGCCAGGAGTTCCAGACCAGCCTGGCCAACATGGCGAAACCCCATCTCTACCAAAAGTACAAAAAATTAGTGGGGTATGGTGGTGGGCACCTGTATTCCCAGCTACTCGGGAGACTGAGGCAAGAGAATTGCTTGAACCCGGGAGGTGGAGGCTGCAGTGAGCCAAGATCACGCTGTTGCACTCCAGCCTGGGCAACAAGAGCAAAACTCCGTCTCAAAAAACAAAACAAAACAAAACAAAAAAACCTCTTTTCGGAAAAAAAATTTTTTTCATATTATGTTCATCTGTATTATTATCTGTCTAATGTCTGATCCCCTACCTATTAGACTGGAAATTCCATTAGGGCAGGAATGGTGCCTGGTATATAGTAAGTGTTGTTGGATGAGTGAAATGAATGACTGGCATAAGGATGAAAGGTGTTATGAGCTGAGCTGTGTCCTCCCAAAAAGATATGTTGAGGTCCTGGCTGGGTGCAGTGGCTCACTTCTGTAATCCTAGCACTTTGGGAGGCCGAGGCAGGTGGATCACGAGGTCAGGAGATCGAGACCATCCTGGCTAACATGGTGAAACCCTGTCTCTACTAAAAATACAAAAAAAAAAAAATAGTCGGGTGTGGTGGCTGGCGCCTGTAGTCCCAGCTACTTGGGAGGCTGAGGCAGGAGAATGGCGGGAACCCAGGAGGTGGAGCTTGCAGTGAGCCAAGATCGCGCCACCGCACTCCAGCCTGGACGACAGAGCGAGACTCCATCTCAAAAAAAAAAAAAAAAAAGATATGTTAAGGTCCTCCTATCCCCCAGCATCCCCCAGAATGTGATCTTATTTGAAAATAGGGTCTTGTAGAAGTAAGCAAGTTAAAATAAAGTCATTAGGGTGGGCCCTAATCCAACATGACTGGTGTCCTTATAAAAGGGAAGTTTGGACACAGAGACAGCCATGCACAGAGGGAAGATGACGGGAAGACACACAGGAAGAACACCAAGAATTGCCAGCAAACATCAGAAACTAGAAGAGTCAAAGGATGATTCTCCCCTAGAGCCATGGGGGCTGGAGGGGAGCAAGTGCATGCCAACACTTTGATTTTGGACATCAAGCCTTCAGAACTGTGAGGCAATTTTTGGGTTTGATCCTTTGTTATGGCAGGCAGCCCTAGAAAACTCAACCAAAAGAGAAAATTGTTGTACATGAGGCAGTAATTGCTGAGGACTTTGATTGGAGAAGCCAAGGCACATAAAGGAAGTTGTAGCCAAAGCATATAAAGGAAGTTGTTCTGTTTCCAGGTGGAAACAGAATTACTTAGCAAGCAGAATTCAATGGTGTGGAGTATTGGATCAATCTCCCTAAACACATATTCAGGTAACCGACCTTCATTTTTTGTCCCCTTCTTCTTTCCAAATACCATATTCCACTGATCCTAGAGGCACATCTCACATCTCTGAAATCAGCCTGTTCACTGGTGTCCAGCAAGAGGAAGTGTAAAAAAGTTTCAAAAAAAATCACATGGAGAGACCATCACAGACAACTTCCGGTACACAATATTATATTAACAGTTTAAAAATATGCATATAAATGCATTTCTATCTATATATAACTTCTATCTATGATTATCTATCTATATATAATTCCTTTTTTTTTTGTTTTGTTTTTTTTTTTTTAGTAGAGACAGGGTTTCACTGTGTTAGCCAGGATGGTCTCGATCTCCTGACCTGGTGATTCGCCCGCCTCGGCCTCCCAAAGTGCTGGGATTACAGGCGTGAGCCACCGTGCCCGGCCTATCTATATATAATTCTATGTATTCTATCTATATAGCGATATATAATTTCTATCTGTAATGCAAATCTACATGTGATTTCTATCTATATATACATGTAGATAGAAAATTTAGGGAATTCACTGCAGGTGCTGCTTGCAGTCCACTTTTAAAACCTAACATTACATAATAAAACACTATTTTAAGAAGCTGCACTAGGCCGGGCTTGGTGGCTCACGCCTGTAATCCCAGCACTTTGGGAGGCCAAGTCGGGTGGATCACAAGGTCAGGAGTTTGAGACCAGCCTGGCCAACATGGTGAAACTCCGTCTTTACTAAAAATACAAAAATTAGTCTGGGGTGGTGGCGTGCGCCTGTAGTCCTATTCAGGAGGCTGAGGCAGGAGGATCGCTTGAACCCGGGAGGTGGAGGTTGCAGTGAGCCAAGATCGTGTCAATGCACTCCAGCCTAGGAGACAGAGCGAGACTCCGTTTCAAAAAAAAAAAAAAAAAAAAAAAAAAAAAAAAAGGAGCTGCACGATGCTCCCCTTGGGCGTGTACCATACCTTATTTAACCATTCCCAAACTGTTTCCATTTTTTCTGATGTTAAATAAACTCTAAGATGTACAGACGTCTTTTATCTGGCTCTCCGATTACCTTCTGCAGATAAACTCCTAGAAGTTACTGGGGCAAAGGGAGTGAACCTTTAATTTTTAATAAAATTTTTTAAATTACAGAAAAAGCCGTAGTCGTCAGATTCTACTTCCTAGGCGGTCCACAGGGATTTCAACAAGTTCGATTCAAACCATCCCAAATTCCCTCCCGGCACTAAGTTTTCCTCGGTCTTGGGAAACGTGGCCCCGCAGTCCGCACTCACGACTGCGCACAAACGCTGGCCTCTTTCCAATGGCGAAACTTCTCGACACGCCCCCGAGGCACCACCTCTTTAAAATTTAAAACGAAGGCCCAGGCCAATGAATGCTAAGCTTCTCTCGGACCACAGAGACCCGCCCACCGTCACTCCCTCCACCAATCAGACTGAAGTTTTCTCCACTGCCCCTCCAATCACCGCCAAAAATGGAAGTTGCTCTCGTAACTTACGTAAGGCAAGCAGCCAATAGGAGCAAACCTTGGAAACTAGCTCCCCCAATAGCAGCAGTTCCTGGAGAGCGCGGGAGCCTTTCGACCAGGGTCCCAAAGGAAAGCAGTGAGTGGTGCTGTTTCCCTGAAGGAAGGGACTAAGGGACGGTGGCGCGGGCCCGGACCGGGGCCCCGGGGCGGCGGCACGGCCGATATGGCATGCTGTCACAAAGTAATGCTGCTGCTGGACACCGCGGGCGGCGCCGCCCGCCACAGCCGGGTCCGGCGGGCCGCCCTGCGCCTCCTCACCTATCTGAGTTGCCGATTCGGCCTGGCCAGGGTCCACTGGGCCTTCAAGTTCTTTGACTCGCAGGGGGCGCGGAGCCGGCCGTCCCGCGTGTCTGACTTCCGCGAGCTGGGGTCCCGCTCGTGGGAGGACTTTGAGGAGGAGCTGGAGGCCAGGCTCGAGGATCGCGCCCACCTGCCCGGCCCGGCGCCCAGGGCCACCCACACGCACGGCGCCCTGATGGAGACGCTGCTAGACTACCAGTGGGACCGGCCCGAGATCACGTCGCCCACGAAGCCGATCCTGCGGAGCAGCGGGAGGAGACTGCTGGACGTGGAGAGCGAGGCCAAGGAGGCCGAGGCCGCGCTCGGGGGCTTGGTGAACGCCGTCTTCCTCCTGGCCCCCTGTCCGCACTCGCAGAGGGAGCTGCTGCAGTTCGTGTCTGGGTGCGAGGCCCAGGCCCAGCGCCTGCCGCCCACCCCTAAGCAGGTGATGGAGAAGTTGTTGCCCAAGAGAGTCCGGGAAGTCATGGTCGCCCGAAAAATCACCTTCTACTGGGTGGATACCACCGAATGGTCTAAGGTAAGGAAGGTTACTGTCGTCTCAGATGGCGTGCACGGTGCTTTCCTTGCTAACCAGAACTTGGCAGCGTCCTTAGAACAGCCACAGACCCCGAATGAGACTAATATGACTATGCGTCCCTTCGGAAGGAAACAAATAAATAGGAACAGTTTTCACAACAAAATGGGTAGTTCCTCACTACCTACTGTTTAAGACCCCTCACAATTTGGGCCCTACCTGCCTTCCCAGACTTGATTTTCCTACACACTACATCTACTCTAGCATATTGAAGTCCAGTCCAGAAAATCAACAGGTCTGGACTGCTTGTTTTGTGTTATGTGTGTTGTTCAATCTGCCTGGAATGCCAGTTCTCACTCTTCCAGGCCAGTCTTAACTTCACTTACCCTTTAAGGCTTCTTCTCCCAGTGACAACTGCTCAGTCCAGCGTCTGAATTGCCATACACATTTTGTGTGGCACTTAACCATTTCTCCATATGTTTTGATTATGCACATCTCTCACCCTCCATCTAGTCTAAAAATACCTCAGAGGCAAGCAGCAGGTTTTAACACAATACCCAGGGGTGTGTGTGTATGTGTGTGTGTATATATATATATATATATATATATATATATATATATATACACACACACACATATATATACACATTTATTTATATACATATATATATTTATTTATTATTATTTTTTGAGACAGTGTATGTCGCCCAGGCTGGAATGCAGTGGCTCACTGCAACCTCCACCCCTCCGGGTTCAAGCGATTCTCATGCCTCAGCCTCCCAAGTAGCTGAGACTACAGGCCCACGCCACCATGCCTGGCTAATTTTTTTGTATTTTCAGTGGAGACCAGGTTCCATGCTGCCCAGGCTGGTCTCAAACTCTGGCCTCAGGCAATCCGCCTGCCTTGGCCTCCCGAAGTGCCAGGATTATAGGTGTGAGCCACCACGCCCAGCCACCCAGATGTGTATTAAACGTTGTAGGTGTTCAGTCAGTATTGGCTGACTAAATGAGTACATTCTTGCGTACATTCTTGCAAACTTAAAGTCTTAAATGGCTAATTTGGATTTTTGCTGAGGCGGTGAGGCCCCCTGCTCCTGTTAAGTGCTAGGATAAGTATATACTTTTGCCTTCATCCTTCTCATTGCACTTCATTTAGTCAACAAATGTTCATTGAGAAGCCAGTAACATCTGAGTGCCTACCACACTGTTTGAGCTGCTGGGGACATGGTAACCAAAGCAGGGAACAGATTAAACAGATAAGCAAGTGACAATTTCAAATCATGCTCTGGAGAAAATAAAATGGGGTGAGAGGATGGGAGTAGAAGGTGGTTATTGTATACAGAGTGGTAGTGAGGGAAGGCCTTTTTTTTTTTTTTTTTTTTTTTTTTTGAGACAGAGTCTCGCTTTGTCACCCAGGCTGGAGTGCAGTGGCGTGATCTCGGCTCACTGCAACCTTCACCTCCTGGGTTCAAGCAATTCTCCTGCCTCAGCCTCCCAAGTAGCTGGGATTATAAGCGGGCGCCACCAGGCCTGGCTAATTTTTTTGTATTTTTAGTAGAGACGGAGTTTCACCATGCTACCCACCCTGGTCTCAAACTCCTGAGCTCAGGCAGTCCGCCAACCTCAGCCTCCCAAAGTGCTAGGATTACAGGCATGAGCCACCGTGCCTGGCAGGGAAGGCCTTTTTGAGCAGAGAATTGAATGGTGAAGGAGGAGGAACTCAAAGGTAGGTAAAGAACATTCCAGGTGAGGAGACAAGCAGGTGTAAGGATTTCAGCTGGAAATGAACTTAGTTTGTTTCAGAAACAAAAAGGCAAGGAGTGCTGAGACCTAGTAGGCAAGGGGAGCAGTGTGAGAGAAAGTCAGAAAGCAGGAGAGGCCGATCTGTAGGGCCAAGGTCAAAAATGTGGATTTTGTTCTAATTAATTAATGGGAAGGCTTTGGAATGTGGTTTAACCAAGTGAAAGATGTGATTCCACTTAATGGAAATACATGTCACTAACCCAGGAGTGAGTTAAATTGCAAGATTACAGATGGAAAATGAGCAAGCATTTAAATAATAATATGGTATGTTAAAATTTTCAAAGTGCTTTCACATGCGAAGCCCAAAAAAGGCGTGGCAAATGCAAAATAAGGCAGCAGTGGTTTGTCAAGAAAAGGAAGGGACAAAAAGTGTTTAAGGGGATGGTAAACATTTGATGGGGAAAATGAAATCCTAGATATATTAAAATTTAAGGCAGCCAGTCAAGCCTTAGACACAGTATACAACACATTGCTCAGCTGGAAACAATTGATATCACATCAAAGACTTTCTTCTGGAATTTTATTATGTTAAATACTGGCTAGAAATAAGTTAGATGGGGCTTGATGGATCTTGGAGATTCTTTGTCTCTCTTTTTTTCTCTTTAATCTCTCTCTCTCTTTTTTTTTTTGAATAGCATTGAAATAAGTGGGTTGACTGGATCTTTTTAAAGATCCCTTCCAGGTCTGATGTACCGTCGACTGAGGGGATGGGTCATCTCTGAGGCTTCCCTTCTTACATCGGCTGTATCCCCTAAGAAAATGCCCATCAGATACTCAAGTTTTTCTGGAATTTTCTTCTGCTGAAGATCTATCATTTTCTATTCAAAAACCTGCCCAGCCATGCTGGGCAAAAGGAAGGTTTGGGCTGTGTCCTTGGGGAGTGCTCTGTCCAGGAGCAGGGAGAAGGGAGGAAGAGAAAATCCAGGTCCTGCCTTGGGGAGCGTGCAGTCTGGGAAGTAGAACTGGGAGAAACAGAACCTGCACTTACATTGGAGGCAGAGGGATCCAAGCGCATAAAACAGGATATCATATTTGCAAAGATATAGGACAGAATGGAGGATAAGAGACCTCTGACACATTTTCAACTTTATGCCTTAGATTTATTCAATACATATTTGTTCCATACCTGCCAGGTATGCTAAGGAATCAAATAGATGTGGTCCCTGCCCTCTTGGAGCTTATAGTCTAGTGGACATTTACAGATCCCCAAATTTGAAACTACCACTAGGACATGTCTGTCACTTATCCTATAATACGCATACGAGTGAAAAATGTGACCATACTCTATAGTATACTGTTTGTATTTTTGTTTTTGTTTTGTTTGAGACAGAGTCTTGCTCTGTCGCCCAGGCTGGAGTGCAGTGGCGCAATCTCGGCTCACTGCAACCTCCGCCTCCTGGGTTCAAGTGATTCTCCTGCCTCAGCCTCCCGAGTAGCTGGGATTACAGGCGCTTGCCACCACGCCTGGCTAATTTTTGTATTTTTAGTAGAGACAGGGTTTCACCATGTTTGCTAGGCTCGTCTCGAACTCCTGGCCTCAAGTGATCCACCCACCTCGGCCTCCCAAAGTGCTGGGATTACAGGCTGTTATTTTTTTTTAATCACATGTTTTGCTATGGTTTGAATATTTGTCCCCTCCAAAACTCATGGAGTAATGGGTGTCATGGGAGTGGGATTGGTGGCTTTATAAAAAGAGGAAGAAAGTGTTGAGCTCACTTGCTGAGCCTCATCGCCCTGCTTTGCCCTGTGCTGCCTTGGGACTCTGCAGAGTCCCCACCAGCAAGAAGGCCTTTGCAAAGTACAACCCCCTGGCCTTGGACTTCTCAGCCTCCATAACTGTAAGAAATACATTCCTTTTCTTTATAAATTACCCAGTTTCAGCTATTCTGTTGTAAGCAACATTAAGCAGACTACGCCATGCACACATTACCTTTAATAGAAACTTAAGGTCCTTTTCAACACTTATTAAAGTTACATCTTCCCACCCACCTCCCGAGACAGAGTTTCACTCTTTTCACCTACGCTGGAGTGCAGTGGTACAATCTGGGCTCAATGCAACCTCCACCTCCCAGGTTCAAGTGATTCTCCTGCATCAGCCTCCCTGGTAGCTGGGATTACAGGCACCCACCACCACACCCAGCTAATTTTTGTATTTTTAGTAGAGATGGGTTTTCACCATGTTGGCCAGGCTGGTCTTGAACTCCTGACCTCAGGTGATCCACCTGCCTTGTGGATCAAAGTGAGGGGTGTTGGGATTACAGGCGTCAGCCACCACAACCGGCCATAAAGTTACATCTTAACCTTTCATTTTATTAACAGGGTTTTTTTGTTTGTTTTCCTGGCTGGTCTTCTGGCTGAAACAATTTCAACAAAATTTTTGTGTCCATTTGGCAGAAAATCCTAATCAGGATCTATGGCGTCTGAACTAGGTTACCATTCTCTCCATAGCAGTGAACACAGATATAGATACATGGGTGGTAACATCACATACTAATTAATTGGTTAATCTAATACAGCATTTTCCAGATTGATATTCATGACTGAAAAGTTTAGATAGATTAGAAGATAATGTGCTCCAATACATTGTTTATCTTCATTACATGGGATCTTTTTTTTGTTTGTTTTTAATGCTGATCATAAACCACTCAATCCATCAGAGAATCTATCAAAGTCCGTCAGATGGTCATGATCCGAATTTTAAAAGCAGTCTAGGCCAGGCCTAGTGGCTTATACCTGTAACCCCAGCTTTGGAAGGCTGAGACAGGAGGATCTCTTGCACCCAGGAGTTTGAGACCAACCTGGGCAACATGGTGAGACCCCATCTCTACAAAAAATACAAAAGTTAGCCAGGTGTGGTGGCACATGCCTGTACTCCCAGCTACTTACTCAGGAGGCTGGGGCGAGAGGATTGCTTGAGTCCAGAAAGTTAAGGCTGCAGTGAGCCATGTTCATACCACTGCACTCCAGCCTGGGCAACAGAGCAAGATCCTGTCTCAAAAAATAAAAATAAATGAAAGCAGTCTATTCAGAACAGTCCTGGGTTCTTGGACTTGTCTATCATTGCCTTGCTGGGACCATGGACGATTCCCTGCTTGTCTTTGAACTTGACTACAATGGGAAGTTTGGGAATGACCTAGTTGACTTTCGAGACCCTTCTAGTTCTGATTCCTAACATTCACATAGCAATTATAATTTATAATTGTTACCCGGCATGATGAGCATATTCTAAGGGGTGTGCTCCTTCATATTCCCATAGTAGCTGAATATTGTTGTTATACTGTGATGCCACGTTAAACATTTTATGTTGGTACTGTTTTATTCACACCCCCCGCCCCACTTCGAGATCCTAGACATGGCACATAGAAGTTACTCAATAAAAGTTTGTTGACAGAAGGTTGACTGAAGAGTCAGCTGTGTGTGAAGGAGTGAAGCAGGGCTTTTACAAAGAAAGCAGGATTTGAGCCAGATACAGAAGCGTAATAACCATTCAGTTGGTGAAGAAAGAAGGGGAGGCCCAGGAAATAGAAATCAGCAAAAACAGGGAAGCCTTAAAATATGGCATGTTCAGGAAATAGCAAATGGTTCAATATGCCTAGAAGGAGTGGGGGTGGATGAGGGGTAGAAGATAATGTGTTCCAAAAGGTGGTTTAGGGTTGGCTTGTGAAGGGCTTTGTGATTATGCTGAAGAGTTACTTTATTCTGGAGGCAGTGGGAAGCCTTTCAGAATTTCAGAGAAGTAGCGTGACCAGAGAAGTGATTTGGAAGAATACTTAGAGCACCATGGAGGAACGATTAGAGGCAGAGCACAGACTTTACAGGCTATGGTAACAGTTAGGGCAAAAGATGCCACGAGGCCTCGGTTTGTCTCGTCTCTGCACAGGCCTGTGGGTGGGCAAGTCAGAGTGATGGTCACCGTCTGGGGGAGGTGCTCCTGCCTCACTCCCATGACACCTGGCCATTATTGTGTTGTGCTGTATAGGACATAATTATTTTTATTAATAGGCCAGGCACAGTGGCTGTTGCCTGTAGTCCTAGAACTTTGGGAGGCTGAGGCAGGCAGATCACTTGAGGTCAGGAGTTTGAGACCAGCCTGGCCAACATGGTGAAACCTCGTCTCTACTAAAAATACAACAATTAGGCGGGCATGGTGGCGCATTTCTGTAATCCCAGCTACTTGTGAGGCTGAGGCAAGAGAATCGCTTGAACCTGAGAGGTGGAGGTTCCTGTGAGCCGAGATCATGCCACTGCCCTCCAGCCTGGGTGACAGATCAAGACTCTGACTCAAAAAAAAAAAAAAAAAGGTTATTTTTATTAATGTATAATGGTTCTATGTTCCTTCTAACATTTTATGATCTATACCCAGTGATTTGTGTCACTTCTTTCTGTTCCTTGACAAAAAATATAAATGAGGTACTATTTTTACTAAATGAATGCTTTCTCAAAGGGATATAAGGTAGTAATTTGTTCTGGGGCTGCACAGTAGCTTGATGCTGACCATTATTTCTATTTAGCTCAGCAAATACATTGGTTGTGTAATTCGATCCTTTAATATTGGTATCAACTTTACTTTCTCCTGATTTCCTTTACTTTTATTTGTGAATGCCTAATTTATAGTAACCTAAGGTTGTTTGTCGTTTTATTTTAGTTGTGGGAATCCCCAGACCACCTTGGATACTGGACTGTTTGTGAACTGCTCCACCACGGAGGTGGCACTGTCTTGCCATCTGAATCTTTCAGCTGGGATTTTGCTCAAGCTGGGGAAATGCTGCTCAGGAGTGGAATAAAGCTGTCAAGTGAACCTCATCTTTCTCCGTGGATTTCAATGCTGCCAACTGATGCCACTTTAAACCGTTTGCTCTACAATTCTCCTGAGTATGAGGCCTCGTTTCCACGAATGGAAGGAATGTTATTTCTCCCTGTTGAAGGTAAGCAAATAATATTTTAAGGTTTTTTTTTTTTTAAATCTCAGTTACATTAATTTCTTCAAAGAAGCTTTTAACTTCTTTGGCATTTCTCACAGCCCAGGCACTCAACGAATGCTTGTCATGAAAGAATTAAAAGACATCAAGGCAAAATCAGAGATACTGTAGGAAAGAGTTGAACTCTTAATTCAGTACAACTGCCAGCCTTTGTACAAAAAAACAAGTGAATGATTGATTTTAAAGTTTACCAGCTGTTCCCAAAGAAGGGTAATATTATTCAGGTGCCCAAGCACATGGGTATACGATTTCATTGCCTCATAGAGTAGATTGATAAATTGAAGACCATAGAGAAACAATGGTCGACTAAAAGAAGAAATAAATTAGTCTACAGAAACCCAGAATGATGCTTGTTACCAGGAAAAGCAAACATGTTGGAATCTTCATTACATTAGTTTCACCATATGATTTGCTATATGGTAAATCTCATTTCTGAATATATTGTATATTCACAGAAATAATACTTTATAGAGATATGTACATAAAACTGTTGTACATTATGTGCAGTTTAAGGAATTTTCAAGAGTAGTTTTGTTTATATAATTTCATTACACAGTCTTTAGAATTTAACCTCCTCATAAGATATGATGCACTGTACTTTATGGATTTAAGAAGTGGTGTCTTCTTTCTTATAAGTAGTAAACATTGCTTGAATACTTACTTCTTTTTTTTTTGAGACAAGGTCTTGCTTTGTCACCCAGGCTGGAGTGCAGTGGTACGATCATAGCTCAGATCGCAGCTCACTGAGCCTCGACTTCCTGGGCTCAAGGGATCCTCCCACCTCAGTCTCCCAAGTAGCTGGGACTAAAGGCATGAGCCACCACACCTGGCTCATTTTTGTATTTTTTGTAGAGATGGGGTTTTGCCTTGATGCCCAGGCTGGTCTTCAACTCATGGACCTCAAGTGATCCTCTGGCCTTGGCCTCCCAAAGTGCTGAGATTGCAGGCATGAGCCACCGTGCCTGGCCTTCAATACTTATACTTATTTCTAAGTCATAATTTCTGAGAAGTTCTGCCATCACATATTGCCTTTGTAACTCCATTTGTTTATAGCTTTTTCTATAGAGCTAAATGAACTTGCTATGATGACTTGGCAGTAGAATAAGTGTTGAAGTGTTCAACTAAGTGACAGTATCTCAATTGACAACTTGATTATTTTCTTATTGTTATTAAATCTCTTTTTAGTATCTATTCCTTATATTGGAATTTTAATCTTTTTTTAAAATTTTAATTTGGCATCCTGGTCTAATTAATCTTTATTTCTAGCAGGCAAAGAGATTCAAGAAACATGGACAGTCACCCTAGAGCCCTTGGCCATGCATCAGAGACATTTTCAGAAACCAGTCAGAATTTTTCTAAAAGGCTCAGTGGCCCAGTGGTCTCTCCCAACGAGCAGCACTTTGGGCACTGACAGCTGGATGCTAGGAAGTCCAGAGGAGAGCACAGCAACTCAAAGGCTGTTATTTCAGCAGTTGGTAAGCAGGCTGACTGCTGAAGAGTTACACCTGGTAGGTATCCTCCACACGGGAAGTTATTCTTGTCTAACAACACACTGGTAAAGTGAAATAAGTGTGTTTATAAATGCCCTACACAATATAGTCTTAGTAAAACTGATTATGCTTTTGCAAATAATATTGTTGACATTATAGTATCATGACAGCAATGCTTATTAGAGAAGAAATCACTTATAAAATTGCATGTACCAAGAATCCAATTAAGTTAAATTATATTCACATAGGGAAGAAGGCAGTTGGCCAGATGAAGTGCTTATGTTAGGGTAGTAATGTGATGAGTGATTTCTCATTGTTTTTTAAATATTCTGTTACATATTTACTACTTTTATATAAGTATTTAAGAAAAAGCTGCTACACAGTAAAATTAGATGTAATAGTATAATAGTTGTGTAACTATATACAATGTAATATAATTGTCTGTGTAACTCAGCAGTTGGACAGTAGTTACACAAATGTAGAAATGTCTTCTGAAAAGGAACATATACATACCCAGATTTGATTTAACGGTGAGAATTATTTTTAAACTACCAGCAAATTCCTTACCTTACTTTGTCTTTTGCCTTCATACTCTCAGGAGGGGTCTCTATTCTGGTTCCCATTGTAAAATATTCTAGAGAAAAATACGGTAGTCATTGGACAGATGCTGTTCTGAGAGTTGTGTGCTCTGAGGAAAAGGGCACTGGGTTTGGGAGTCAGTGATCTGGATTAGGTCTCAGCTCTGCTGCCTACTGTATGTTCTGGATAAATCACTCAAGTGGTATTTCTGCCTCATGGTTAAGTACATGGGTTTCAAAGTCACATATGCTTGGCATCTTCTCTTACTAAGTAGGTGGCTTTAACAGGTTACTTCTGCCTCAGCCTCAATCCCTCCTTTATAAAATGGGGATAATAATTATTTTTACCTCAGGGCGATTGTGAGGATTCAGTAAGCACATAGTAAATACCTAGTAAATATTCCTGGTAATGTCAGGTTTTACTTATTTGTAAGTAGAAATATGAGGACTCTGTGATTAATAAATTCCCTTCTACCTCTATTAATGATCAAATCTATCTTTTTCATAGTTTTCACGTTAATAATAATTGGGAAAATGGTTATTCTGTCTTTTAGTACACTACATTCTTCTTTAGGCATATTGACAATAATATTCTCAACTAATTAGGGCTTCTCACGTAGGTTGCTGATGTGGACCCTGGTGAAGGCCGGCCCCCCATCACTGGAGTTATTTCCCCACTCTCTGCCAGTGCTATGATCCTCACTGTGTGCCGCACCAAGGAGGCTGAATTTCAACGACATGTTCTCCAAACAGCTGTGGCTGACAGCCCCCGGGACACAGCTTCCCTTTTCTCAGATGTTGTGGATAGTATATTGAATCAGACTCATGATTCGCTTGCAGATACTGCTTCTGCTGGTAAGCTCCTAAACTAGTAACTAACAGAGTCTAGGGTGGTTTGCAGTCTTTTCAAGCATCGGGACTTTTTCACTGTGCAGTTAGTAGAACCCCAATATGTTATAACACAGATGAAAGAAAGCTATAATACTTCAGGCAGTTTAAATCATTATTATTTATAGAATTCCTTAAGTACTTCTGAGGAGGCTGCAGGTTCCATGAAACCAGTCTGAAATCGAAGTCATGGTTTTTAATATATTTAAGAAATACTGCATATAAAACTGTAGTGATTCTGTCTACCCTGCATTGCATTGTTACTACTAGCATTGCAACTAAATGCATTGTTACTACTAAATCTACCTAGCATAAATAAGGTTTGTATCATGTTAGTATTACAAACCTTATGTAAGCTAGGTAGATTTAAATATACGTATACATATATATATATATAAAATCAACTTGATATTTCTTTAATTCATTCATTCATTCAACAGATTTGAGTACCTGCTGTATGGCAGGCACTGTTTGAAGTACTGGGACTATATTAGAGAACAAAATGGACAAAGATGTCTTCCCATGGAGCTGACCATCTAGTCCAGGGAGACAAAACAATAAGTCAGGAAAATTACGGTTTAGTCTAAAGAGACAAAAATTGTAGTAGTAAAGCAGAAACAAAGGAATGGGGTGTGTTAGGGTAGGGAGGGTTGCAATTTTAAGTAGGGTGGTCAGGGAAGGCCTTGCTGAAAAAATGATATTTGAGCAAAGGCATGAAGGAAGTGATGGCAGGGAGTTGCTGGTAGAGGCGACAGCGAGTGCCAAGGCTCAGAAGGGTGTTAGAGGAATGGCAGGGAAGCCTGTGGCTGCAGTGAAAGGAGCAAGGAGAGAGTAGGAGGGGGTGAGGTCAGAGAGCCAGCAGCAGACCAAACTGGGCAGGGCTTTACAGGCACTGAAAAGACTTTGGCTTTTACTGTGAGTGAGAGAGGAAGCCTTTGGGTGATTTTCTGCAGTGACACCATCTGACTTATGTTTTAACAGCATTACTCTGGCTTCCATATTGAGATTTGACTATAGAAAGGCAAGGATAGAACCAGTCAGACATATTACAATAATCCAGGCAAGAGATGGTGGGAAATGTAGGGAGTTGGAAGTAGTTGGAGCTCTTGGATATATTTTGAAGGTAAAGCCAACAAAATTTGCTGTTAGATTAAATGTGTAGAGTGAGCTGTAGGGAAATTGAAAGTGACTCCAGAGACTTTTGCCCTAAGCTACTGGTAGAAAGCAGTTTCTTTCTGAGATAGGGAAGGCTGTGGGAGAACCAGGGGCTGGGGTGGTGAGGACTGGAGGGTTTGTTTTGGGCATGGTAAGTCTGAGTTGTTCATTAGACATCCACACATGGTATTGAGTAGGCATCAACTATGCATGTTTGAGTTTGGGAGATTTGTCTGGACTAGAGATGATGGGAGTCATCAGTGATGTTTTAAAGCCATGAGATGGGTTAAGATCACCATGGGGGTGGGCGTAGATGGGAAAGAGAAGGGGACTAAGGACTAACCCCTGCACCCTAATGTTAAGCAGTCTGGGGAATGAGGAGAGAGAAACCAGCAAAGGAGACAAAAGGGGGACAGTCGCTGAGTTAAAGAAAACCCAGATTGTGGTACCCTGGAAGCCAAGTGAAGACAGGAAATGCTTGGCTGGGTTATTTACTACTGACAGGCCAAGGAAGATGAAGGCTGGGAGCTGACATTCAACTGAGCAATGTGGATGCTCGGGATACCATCACAACGTGATGGTTGTGATACTAGTTTTGGTGGAATTGTGAGGGTAGAAGTGTGAGTGGGAATACGTTCAGGAGGGACTGTGAAAAGAGGAAAACAGCAAGTGTGGACAATTTTTTGGAGTAGTTTTGATCTAAAAGATATTAGAGTAATGAAAACAGTGGCTAGAGAGGGAAGAAGAGTCAAGGTTTTTGGTTTTGATTTTTAGAAATAATAATAGCCTGCTTGCATGTTGATGAGATAATATGGTAAAAATTAATGCAGGGGATGGAGAGAATTGCTAGTTAGAGGGCTTTGAGGAAGTGCAAGTGGAGGGGTTGGTCTTGGGAACAAGCACAGTTCATCTGTGACAACTGGGGGAAGGCAAAAATGTAAGGGCTGGGATGCCAAGGTGAGTGATGTTGGTGTGAGTGTACGGGGTTCTCTTCCGATTGCTTCAGTTTTTTTAGTGAGTTAGGAAGTGACATCATCAGCTGAAAATGAAGACTTAAGGAGATGCTGGAGGCTGAGGAGAGAGGGGAGGAGGAAGTGGCTCTTGAGAGGGTGAAGATAGCAGGAAGGTGGAGGAAGTTTGCCGGGATAGTCGTGAAGGTAAAGTGAGATCCCTCTGTGGGCTTGCCTGCCTCCAGCCACATTCACCAGCTGGCACAGCTGCAGAGTAGGCAGGGAGCTGGATTAACCAGGGTTGGGATTTTCCCAAATGAGGGTGGTAAAGCTAGAGAGGGGTCAGGGATTCAAAAGTGTGAACAGGAAGAGATTACAGGATTTGTCCATGGAACGAGGCAGGGTAAGGAGGGAAGTGAGGACAACGGAAGGACAGGCGATCAGATCAATGGGTTATAGGGGTCTCAGGATTTCTGGAGCCAATCTGCTCAAAGGAGAGAGCTAAAAAATAGGTGGAGGTGGTCAGAATGGGGTGCTTGAGATCATAGAGGGTGGTGACCAGGGGGAGAGAGTGACTGAAGGAGGGCAACACGCTGGGGCACCAGAGGTGAGGAATTCAAGGGGACAAAGGCCAGAGTGTTGGTAGCATCAAATGTGTGTATGGAAGTTATCCAGAGTTAAGACTGAGTAGTACTGGAGAGACTGACGGTGGTGAGTCGGGAGCTAACAGTCTTTGAGGAGTAAGGGGGAATGATCCAGGCTTGTTAGATGACTATGAGCGTGTAGCCTTTGATGTGAGACTCAAAGCTGGATTTTTGTCGTTATTTTCAGCAGGTAGAGGGAAAATGATCTGGAAGAGGCAAGGAGGATACCAGCCCACCTCAGGGCCAAGTGGAAAAAGAGCATGGCGGGGGAACAGCAAGCTCTCTCCAGCGCTGCAGGGGAAGCAGTGTGTTCAGGGCAGGAGGAGATGGAATTGAGGACATAGGGGATTTTGCTGATGAGGGTCAGTGAGTTCCAGAGGGCAGGGTGGGAGGATTTTACGTGTGGAAGGGCTAGGCTGTGGTGCCAGGATGGGAGACGGAAGGAGCAGTGAGGAGATTCCAGTGGGCAGACTGGAGTGACCTGGGGGTCTAGGGCTTCGCCTGACGGGAAAAAGCAGCTATGAAGGGGAGCATGAGATTGATTCCTGATGGTTTCAACGCAGCTAATGGTGCTGAACCTGTGAGTTTGGGGGGTAAGAAGGGTGGGTGTTTGGCCCACCCCCACTCCTGCCCATGTCGGCGTGGAGACTAGAAGGAGGGCATCTAACTCCGAGGGCCTAGGGCTCCCTCCAAAGCCCTGCCCAGGCGGCCAGTGGAGGGTGGCCTTGTTTTTAGCATGGGGCTCCTGCTTGACATTTGCTGGAAGAGGTGCAGGTAACTCTGAGGGGCACTCTCTTTCCATGCAGAGGGAGGCTTGAGACTTGGAGGCCTGAGGCAGGTATTTTTGGCCTTTCTCCCCTAATCCAGCATACAACGACTTGAGAAGAAATCATGTCATGTTTATTCTCATAGACCTTTACTGCACTTGTCTGAATTTTGTAATATAACAGCAAATGCAATTATAGGCATTTATGCTGTCCTGTGATGTGAAGTTTCTTTTGCTTGTTTAAAAAATTCTACAAAATCTTACACTAAAAATAATAGCTTTGGGAAAACTACAGTTGGGGCAGACTTCTCAAAATCTTTGGTAGTGATAAAAACTAAGACAATCCTGGGTGTGGGGACACATGCCTGTAATCCCAGCTCCTCAGGATGCTGAGGCAGGAAGATCGCTTGAGCCCAGGAGTCCAAGACCAACATAGCAAGACCCTGTCTCAATTAAAAACAACAAAAAAAAGTGCAATCCTAATAAAAATTCTAGTTTGATTAAAAGACACATTAAATCCATAATAAGTAAAGTCCATAATAAATATACCTTGTCCTTTAAAAGAAAGGTGAAGATGGCATGATGGAAGGGTTGAGGCTGTGGTATTATGGAGACAGGGGCCAATGACAAAGATAGGGAACTATATCATAAGCACTTTCAAGAAAGTGCACGTGGCCAAACAGCCAAGGAGAAGAAAAGGAGAAGAATACGGGTTGAAAGGACGTAGTGTACAGCACTGCGCTCCTCTGGCTTGTTGTATTTAGTTATGTTTGTGCACTTTGAATTCAGCTGCTACTTGGTGGTATAAAATATTAGCACATTAGGAATGATCACATAACCAAAGCAACGTAATATTTTGTACTACTGTCACTACCTTACTTACCAATTGTGTGTAGGCTATTTGTAGAAAATTTTGTATTGTAGAACAGACTGTATCTTGACTATTTATATAGTCTTGGAAGCAGCTCAGAAAACTGTATTTTGGAATCTGGTAAAGGAAGAACTGCAGTATTTTACCAGTACTCTCTGCTGTAGCATGGCCCACAGTTTCTTCCAGGTTATAAATCAGTGTGCCGGCTTATTGTCCAGTCTCCCCACCATGCTCCATCTGGGTGAGGTCCTATTCATGCATTGGTACCTAGCCCAAATACTGCATTCTCCATGAGACCTTCCTTGCCCATCTAGACGGAGTTAGCATGTGCTAACATTTATACGTATCTCCATGACTTCACAAGAGTGGATCTACTCTTCCTATACTGGGAGCTCCTTTCGAAGTATGCATTGTATTTATCTCTGAATTCTTTCACTGATAGAAAGCCTAGAACTTGGTTGTCTCAATAAGTTTGAATACATTTTAAGTATTTGGGTTTTTTTCCCCAAGACTTCATTAATGTCTAACATTTCATTTGTCTGGGGTCTTAGATGGATCTCTCAGAATTACAGAGTTCACTGAAATTTCTGTTACTGTTCCCCCAACCACCTCCTCCATCAGGCTTATTTTAAGAGAGCCTTCTACCCTCACACTCCCCAATACAGAGCCACATCTTCTTATTTCCAATTTTCCTACTCAGTGCAGCAGAACTGTGATATTCTGCAGTTTTGTTACTGTATATTTATTCTTGTACAAAGCCAATTTTTGTGTGTGTGTGTGTGAGACGGAGTCTCGCTCTTGTCACCCAGGCTGGAGTGCAGTGGCGTGATCTCGGCTCACTGCAACCTCAGCCTCCCGGGTTCAAGCTTCTCCTGCCTGAACCTCCCGAATAGCTAGGAATACAGGCACCTGCCACCACGCCCAGCTAATTTTTGTACTTTTAGTAGAGACGGGGTTTTGCCATGTTGGCCAGGCTGGTCTCAAACTCCTGACCTCAGGTGATCCACCCACCTCGGCCTCCCAAAATGCTGGGATTACAGGCGTGAGCCACCGTACCCAACCATACAAAGCCATTTTTAAGAACAGGACCAGGCACGGTGGCTCACACCTGTAATTCCAGCACTTTGGGAGGCCAAGGCAGGCGGATCACCTGAAGTCAGGAGTTCGAGACCAGCCTGACCAACATGGAGAAACCCCGTCTTTACTAAAAATAAAAAATGAGCTGGGTGTGGTGGCACGTGTCTGTAATCCCAGCTACTCAGGAGGCTGAGGAAGGAAAATTGCTTGAACCCGGGAGGCGGAGGTTGCGGCTCATGAGCCAAGATCGTGCTGTTGCACTCCAGCCTGGGCAAGAGCGAAACTCTGTCTCAAAAAAATAAATAAATAAAAAGAAGAACAATATATATTTTTAACCTGTTTAGAGGAACATTTCAGAAATGAGAGGATTTATAGCCAGTAATAAGAACAAAAGACTTTAAATTGTGTCTGTATGTTTTTCAGTAGCATTTTTTATTTACCACATAGGCCTGTAGCAGTTTGTGGTGCCGGAGAACAAATGTTAACTGTGCACTTTGTATGTCCTTTGGAGGGATGCAGTCAGTCCAGGGGAGGAGCAAGTGCTTAGAATTCTCTGCTTTGGTTCTCATGCTGTTTCCTCTCCTGCCGCTGCTCCTTTGCTCCAATAGCTTCTCCTGTTCCAGAGTGGGCCCAGCAGGAGCTTGGCCACACCACTCCCTGGAGTCCAGCTGTTGTGGAAAAGTGGTTTCCTTTCTGTAACATCAGTGGTGCCAGTTCCGATTTGATGGAGTCATTTGGGTAAAACGTTTTTATATCTCTTGAATATTGATTATTAAAATCAACGTTCAGTTATCTGCATTTTTTTCTTAACAGACCACATTCTCTGAGTATAGTCTAATAATATTAAAAAGTAGTTACAAAAATAAAATACTCTCATACTTAATATATATTGTGAGAGTATGTTAGCTAGATAATATGTTAACAATATATAAATATATACCTGCCAAAAATTCTTTAAAATTTACCAAAGTAATTCGTCAAGTTAAATATAAATAAATACTCCCTTAAAGTGAGAAAATATTTATAACTAAGTATCAATGCAAATAGAAAACAGCAAACTTGAATAATGCAGCTGAATTTATACTTAAAGAAGTATTTGCAGACCGTTTTTGTAAGGAAAAAAGTTAACAACCGATTACTAAGAATCCAACATGAGAAGTAAATAAGAAAGTAACCTCCACCCTACAAAAGATAACAACAGAAATAAATAGAAAACAAATAAATGTAAGTGATCAAGAGAAACAAAAGATGGTTCTTTGAAAAGCCAAATAAAATAATCTATAGCAAGATCAAGCAATTAAAAGACGAACAATATTAGAAATGTAAACGATATGGCAGAAATTCAAACTATTATTAAGAGGTATGGTTGACGTTTATTTTCTCCACACATATATCCATTCAGTTGTTCCAACACCATTTGCTAAAAGACTATCTTTTCCCACTAATAACTGTGGTACCTTGTCAAAAATCAACTGGCCACCTTTGTGCAGATTGATTTCTAGACAGAATACAGTCCAGAAACTATGTTAATACCACATTATCTTCAATATTGCATTATAGCAATACCATATACTGTAGCTTTATAGCACCAGTCACTAAATCAGGTAGTGTAAGTCCTCTAAACTTTGGTTTCGTTTTTTTAAAATTTTTTTGGTTATTTTAGATACTTCGCATTTTCATATAAACTTCAGAACCAGCTTGTCAGTTTCCACGCACACAAACATCTGTTGAAACTCTAGGAGTGCATTGAATCATAGATAAATTTGGGAAGAACTGACATCTTAACAATGTTGAGTCATCCGATCCATGAACATGGTGCAGCTATCCATTTATTTAGGTCTCTCTTTAATCTCCCTCAGTGTTTTGTAGTTTTTAATGTACAAATGTGGCCCATGTTATTTTTTAAAATTATCTCTAAGTATTTTTATGAGATGTAAATATTGAAGAGTTTGAAGATAGTATGATTGTCTTTATAGAAAATCCAGGCCCGGCATGGTGGCTCACACCCGTAACCCCAGTACTTTGGGAAGCCAAGCCAGTGAATCTCTTGAGGCCTGGGGTTCAAGACCAGCCTGACCAACATGGTGAAACCCCGTCTCTACTAAAAATACAAAAAAATTAGCCCGGCGTGGTGGCACATGTCTGCAGTCCCAGCTACTTGGGAGGCTGAGGCACAAGATTCACTTGAATCCAGGACGCGGAGGTTGCAGCCAGCCAAGATCGCGCCACTGCACTCCAGGATGGGCGACAGAGCACCACACACTTAGGGAGGATTAATCTGCTTCATATTGGCTATATGAATGAAGCTGATAGACCCAACACATATTCCACCCTGTGATATCTGTTCAACTAATATCACCGTAACTTTCTTGCACTTTTTAATCAGTTATATCAGATAATGGAAAATATTAAAATACAAATAACACATTTTGAATGTTGTGCCATTTTCATAATTTCCTTAATGACAGATATTTAGCTCTAGGTGGAAAAGGATTTAATAACTAATCACCCCTCCTGCCTGCCCTACTTCCTCCTCTTCTCATCAATCCCAAATTAGTTTATTACAATGTGAAAGAATTATTCGAAGTCATTGCAATACTTACTACAATGTGTTAACATCATTTTGTACTTTGATATATGGAAACTGAGTAAAAAATAACTATGGAAGCTTGAAGTGAAATAGTTGCCATAATTAGACTTGCATCCTAATTCATGAAGAATCCTATTAATAAAAGTCAATATTATATGTAATGGTTAATGGTTTTGTGAACAAGACAGCTTTGGTTCCTGCATTCGTTCAAATCGAAAATGAGAGGAGGGACATTTTCTCTCCTAAGAAAATATATTTTTGAAGGCATCTTGTGGGGACATCTTTTTGGTTAGCTTTTTAGAGGATAGTGGGTATTTTGGTGTTATTTCTAAAGCATTTTGCAAAATTAGAATGTTGGTTTTATTCTAGACATCTTGACTTCACAGGTTACTACAGGCTGCCTCAGCTAATAAGGAAGAGTCTTCCAAAACTGAAGGCGAATTAATACATTGCCTTGCCGAGCTCTACCAGAGAAAATCTCGTGAAGAATCCACTATAGCTCATCAAGAAGACAGCAAAAAGAAACGTATGTACCTAGAAAGGCTGTTTCTTAAGGCATTCTTTTTTGAGACTGTATGTTTTAAAAGATGGGCATTTCCTGAAATGAGGTTGAAATGGTAACTAAATAAAGAAGGGCAAATTTTTATATTTAAATTTTAAAATAATTACATTAGTTCAATAGTGATTTTTAAAAAATCAACCAGTCTTATCTGTCTAATGAATAAGCCATCTTCATTTTTAATTATGATAGAAATTCAAATACAACTTTGTGTTCTGCTTATTAGTATTTTTTCTTTTGCTACCTTGCCTTTTTAGATATTATTCCATCTCATTGCTTAACTAAATTTACAAAATTCTCATGTTGTTGAACATTTAGATTGCTTTCAGTTTTCATCATTATAAATAATACTGTAGTATACATTATGCGTATAATTTGTTTTTTAAGTAATTACCTTAGCAGAAGTTTCCAGGAACCAGTTACTGTGTCAGGGTATGAAAACTGGCTCTTTATGTAGATTGCTAAATTGTCATTCAGAAATTTTCATCACCATTTTTCGTGGCCATTGGGTAACACCAAAATAAGTCTGTTTGGCATTTGCCTTATGGGAAAACCATCCATTGAGATGTTTAGTTCCAATCCAATCACATTGAGATGTTTAGTTCCTAAACTTCGGTTAAAAGAAAGGTTCTCTTTCTACCCTGTGTGTGGGCAGAAAGAGATGCAAGAACTTCCTAATTCAAATCATTCTGGAGGGATATGCTTCATTTTGATATTCTTTCACAGTAATCTGAATTAAAGTAGTTCTTCTTTCCACAGAAGTGGAAGGCAATTTACTTTCCCTCCTCTGATGTTGTTTTGGTAGGAGGGGTCCCTCGTACTCCAGTGAGACAGAAGATGAATACCATGTGCCGTTCCTTAAAGATGTTGAATGTCGCAAGGCTGAATGTGAAGGCCCAGAAGTTACATCCAGATGGCAGTCCGGATGTGGCTGGGGAGAAAGGAATCCAAAAGATACCTAGTGGGAGAACAGTGGATAAATTGGAAGACAGAGGAAGAACACTAAGAAGTTCTAAACCTAAAGGTATTCCTCTTAGTCTATAATTTACTCTTTTATACCCCGCTTTTTTAAAAATAAAATTTAATCGTACCCTTAGTTTATTGACTATCTGCTACATGCACAAAAAGGTGTTATGGTGAATACAGTAAATAATAAGATAATGTGCTATTCTTAGATTTATGATCTAGCTACAAAGATAAGGGAGGCGGAGGTTGTGGTGAGCCGAGATTGCACCACTGCACTCCAGCCTGGGAGACAGAGCGAGACTCTGTCTCAAAAGAAAAAGAAAAAAAGAAAGAAAATTCTGAGGTGTAAATTTTATGCTGCTTTACAGATTTTTTTTTTTCCTGTGGAATGTGAGAGCCATAGATGATAATCAGTTTGAATGGGACAGAACACCTTTAGTGGGCTAGTAAAGGTGTGTGAAATGTGCTTGATACATGCAAGGGAAGGCTGAAACAACAGTACTGAAGACAGTGTGGCAGGAACATAATTTCTGGACTAGATTCTGTCTAGCAGTAGACCTGCACAATAGTGGGCAAATGATTTTTGACAAAGATGCCCCAATAATTCCGTGAGAAAGACATAATCTTTTCAATAAATGATGCTGGAACAACTAGATACCTTTATGGAAACAAAATTAGACCTTACTTTTAATAGTATTTTGTATTCCTGCTATTTTTAATATTTATGCCTTCCATCTCTCTCTCTTTAATTGCTCAATCTTGCTATAGAGTTTTCTGTTTTATTCCTCTTTTCTTTTTTTGTTGTTTTTTGAGACTGAGTTTTGCTCTTTTTGCCCAGGCTGGAGTGCACTGGCATGATCTTGGCTCACTGCAACCTCTGCCTCCCGGGTTCAAGCGATTCTCCTGTCTCAGCCTCCCGAGTAGCTGGGATTACAGGCGCATGCCACCACACCCGGCTAATTTTTGTATTTTTAGTAGAGACAGGGTTTTATCATATTGGTCAGGCTGGTTTCGAACTCCTAACCTCAGGTGATCAGCCTGCTTCGGCCTCCTAAAGTGCTGGGATTACAAGTGTGAGCCACCGCGCCTGGCCTTATTTGGCTTTTCAAAGAACCGTCTTTTGTTTCTGTTGATTGCTGTTGTTGCTTTGTTTTCAATTCATTTCTGTTCTTTATGATTACCTTCCTACCTTTATTTTTGGGGTTTACTCTCTCATATTACTTCACGTGTTGGACCCTTAGATAGTTAATAGTTTTTAATTTGTCTGCTTTACAAAAATAATCACTTGTCTAAAGTCTGTACATTTTCTCTTTAAGTATAACTAACTGCATTATGTATTTACTGTTTTCTATTTTCATTGATACTTATTTATAAATATTTTCTGACATCCATAATATAAGGGAGTGTTTTATAATTAGCTTTTAATATTTTTGAACTGTGCTCAATGTGGTCTGTAAGATTGATTCTTTAATATTTGCTGAAACTGACCTAATGTGCACTTGAAAATAATGGGTATTCTCTAATTGTTGAATATCTGGTTTTATACGTGTCTGTACATCAAGTTTATTAATGTTTGAATATTCAACATTTTTAGTAATTTTTTTCTGCTGCTTTTATCTATTGCTAAGATGATTGTATTAGTCTTCCACTATTGTATTGTCTTTGCTCCTTTGTCAAAGATCAGTGGAGGCCAGGTGCAGTGACTCATGCCTGTAATCCTAGCACTTTGGGAGGCTGAGGCGGGCAGATCACCCGAGGTCAGTAGTTCGAGATCAGCCTGGCCAGCATGGTGAAACCCTGTCTCTACTAAAAATACAAAAATTAGCCAGGCGTGGTGGCAGGCGCCTGTAGTCCCAGCTACTTGGGGTTACTGAGTCATGAGAATCGCTTGATCCCGGGAGACAGAGGTTGCAGTGAGCCGAGATTGCGCCCCTGCACTCCAGCCTGGGTGACGGAGCAAGACTCTGTCTCAAAAAAAAAAAAAAAAATCCGTTTACTATATTTATGTAGGTCTATTTCCAGGCTCTCCTGTTACATTGATCTCTCTATTCTTTTGCTAATATCACACAAACTGTCTTGATTACTGTAGCTTTATAGTAAGTCCTGAAGGTTGGTACTATCAGTCCTCAAACTTTGTTTTTCTCATTCAATATTGAGTTAGTTATTCTGGGTCTTTCGCCTCTTCATATAAACTTTAGAATCAGTTTGTCAATATGCAGAAAATAACTTATTTGATAGGGATCACATAGAATCTATAGATCAAATTGGGAATCTGAAATCTTGACAGTATTGAGTCTTTCTTGCTGTGAACATGGAATATCTCTCCACTTATTTAGTTCTTTGATTTTGTTCACAGAATTTTGTAGTTTTCCGCATATAGATCTTATACAAATTTTGTTAGATTTAATACCTGGGTATTTCATATTTAGGGGGGGTGCTAATTTAAATGGTAATGTGTTTTTAATTTTAAATTTTGCTTGTACATTACTGGCATATGGGAAAGCAATGGACTTTTATGTATTAATCTTGTATCCTGCAAATTTGCTATAATCACTTGTTAGTTCCAGGAGTTTTTTGTTTGTTTGTTTGTTTGTTTTTTTTAGTAGAGATGGGGTTTCACCGTGTTAGCCAGGATGGTCTCGATCTCCTGACCTCGTGATCTGCCCACCTCAGCCTCCCAAAGTGCTGGGATTACAGGCGTGAGCCACCACACCCGGCCCAGTTCCAGGAGTTTTGTTGTTTGTTCTTTCAGATTTTCTAATCATGTCATATCACCAAAGACAGTTTTATTTCTTCCTACCTTTAAATTGTTTGTTTGTTTGTTTTGAGACGGAGTTTCACTCTTATTGCCCAGACTGGAGTGCAATGGTGCGGTCTTGGCTCACTGCAACCTCCGCCTCCCAGGTTCAAGTGATTCTCCTGTCTCAGCCTCCTGAGTAGCTGGGATTAGAGGCGCCCGCCACTACGCCCGGGTAATTTTTGGTATTTTTAGTAGAGAAGAGGTTTCACCATGTTGGCCAGGCTGGTCTTGAACTCCTGACCTCAGGTGATCCACCCACCTCGGCCTCCCAAACTGTTAGGATTACAGACGTGAGCCACCACGCCTGGCCTCCTACCTTTAAATTTTTAACACTTAAACTTGGTATACAGAGCCTTAAAATTAATCACTTGGCTGGGCATGGTGGCTCATGCCAGTAATCCTAGCACTTTGGGAGGCCAGGGCGGATAGATGGCTTGAGTTCAGGAGTTCAAGACCAGCCTGGGCAACATGGTGAAACCCTGTCTTTACCAAAAATACAGAAAATAAGCTAGGTGTGGTGGCACATGCTTGTGGTCCCAGCTACTCCAGAGGCTGAGGTGGGAAGATCACTTGAGCCTGCCTGGGAGGTGGAGGTTGTGGTGAGCCGAGATTGTGCCACTGCACTCCAGCCTGATTGTCAGAGTAAGACCTTGTCTCAAATAAAATGAAATAAAATTAATCACTTATCTCTGTAGTTTCTCAGTCTCTGGACTATTGACATTTTAGACCAGATAATTCTTCGTTGTAGGGCTGTCCTATGTATTGTAGGATGTTTAACAGCATCCCTGGCTCCTACATACTAGATGGCCAGCAGCCACCCCCGCCCCCACCACCATCAGTCATGACAATCCAGACAAGGCCAAATGTTCCCTGCAAGGAAATATTTTCCCCAGTGGACAACAACTGGCCTAAGTAATACAAGGACTTGAGCAAGATATGATTAATCCATTTTATTTTATTTTTTTCTCAGATTTTAAAACTGAGGAAGAGCTGCTATCATATATACGTGAAAATTACCAAAAGACTGTGGCCACAGGAGAAATCATGTTGTATGCATGTGCTCGAAACATGATCTCAACCGTTAAAATGTTCCTAAAATCAAAAGGCACCAAGGAATTAGAAGTAAGAGGGTCCAGATATTGTTGTTTGTCATGGATGTAGTGGTTGGTTGGTTGGTTGGTGGTGGATTTGGTTAGTGTCTTGGAAAATGTCTGTTATGTCATATGTGATTCAAAAATGGTAAGATAAGTAAGGGAGTAAGTACAGTTCCAGATCTCAGAAGGTGGATATGGTGAACTGGTAAGGCAGAAATCAAAGAGATGGGGTGAGCGGGGATAATTACATATAATTCTCTCCTAATGAAAAGCCTTTCCTCATGTGAGCTATATGTTAGCTGCATGATTAAGCCAGTGGTTTTTAACCCTGGCTATACTTTAGAATCACTTACAGCATTTAAAAAATATATATATGCCAACTAACCGTGGTGGCTCACGCCTGTAATACCAGCACTTTGGGAGGCCAGGGTGGGTGGATCACGAGGTCAGGAGTTTGAGACCAGCCTGGCCAACATGGTGAAACCCCGTCTCTACTAAAAATACAAAAATCAGCTGGATGTGGTGGTAGGTGCCTGTAATCCCAGCTACTCGGGAGGCTGAGGCAGGAGAATCGTTTTAACCTGGGAGGTGGAGGTTGCAGTGAGGCAAGATCGTACCATTGCACTTCAGCCTGGGCAACGGAGCGAGACTCCATCTCCAAAGAATATATATATATGCCTTGCTCTCTCCAGATGAACTGAAACAGATCTCTGGGGTTGGCGCTTTTAAAAAGCCCCCTGGATAATCCTTTTGCACTGGGAGTGTTGCAAACCACTGTTTTAGACCGTGTTGTTGTTTTATTCATGTTCAGTGGCCATCACGGAGCTCCTTCTCTAAAGCAAACAGGAGGATTTGTTTATGATACTTAGGTTTCTTAAGCACTGCTTTATGGAACGTTTCTTTTAAGACACTTTATTTAGGGCAGGCTTGTTTTATCCATGCCCACTAGCTCTCAAAATAACTTTTACCATGTTCTTTTTAAAGATATAAAAGAAGAATATTCACGTCACTTTTTCATTCAAATGAAAGAATAGAGAAGTTTATAAGGGAATATATTTCCCTTTAGTCAACTGTGAAAGAAATTAGAAATAATGACAAGTAACACTATTCTCCTATGTAATAATTTTGTATTTTTAGGTGAACTGCCTGAATCAAGTAAAAAGTAGTCTCTTAAAAACTAGTAAAAGTCTTCGACAGAATCTAGGAAAAAAACTGGATAAGGAAGACAAAGTTAGAGAGTAAGTAACTACCATTTTTTAAAAAATCATCACTCTAAAAGCTGTGAGATTAGCTCGTATCAGTTTAAAATAGATTGTTCGTGACATGGTGGCTCATGCCTGTAATCCTAGTACCTTGGGAAGCCAAAGCAGGAGGATTGCTTGCAGCCAGGAATTTGAGGCCATCCTGGGCAATATAGTGAGACCGTGTCTACCAAAAAATTTTTTTTAATTAGGTGAGCATGGTGGTGTACACCTGTAGCCCTAGCTACTTGGGATGCTGAAGCTGGAGGATTGTTTGAGCCCAGGAGCTCAAGACTACTGTGAGCTATGATCCCAGTACTGCACTCTAGCCTGGGCAACAGAGCAAGACCCTGTCTCAGGAAAAAAAAAAAAAAAAAAAAAAAGATTACCAACTGCATGAAGATGCTTTTGTAGCCAATTCTTTTTTATGTTATAATATGCAGCTTGAATCACCTATTTATCTAATAACTACATCAGTTTTTAGAAAAGGCACTGGCTCTCCTCCTTTTTGGTTGTTGTGTCTTATATAAATAGATCTATGCTTACGGAAGGAGCTTTTTGTTTAGTGACATCCAAAGTAGATATGACCAAGTATTTTTTTCTCTCAAGGTGCCAGCTTCAGGTATTTCTTCGTTTGGAGATGTGTCTGCAATGCCCTTCAATAAATGAAAGTACAGATGATATGGAACAAGTAGTGGAGGAGGCAAGTATATAGTTTCGTGCCATTGAAATACGCCCTAGATGCTTTCAGCTTCCCTGCAGAGGGCATCTATATAGTAACGTTCTAAAATCTCCTTCAGGTGACAGATTTGCTGCGCATGGTGTGTTTAACTGAGGATTCAGCGTACCTAGCAGAGTTTCTGGAGGAAATTTTGAGATTGTAAGTTTGATGGTTACTAACTTAACTTTAAAATTGTTTTGTCAAAACCTATGTATGGTGTTGTCTCTGAATTTTGGAGTTGTAAGGACTACTTTTTAGGCTGGGTGAGGGAGGGAATAGAGAGGGTAAGATGGTAACTGTTCCGTATTCGATCAATCTGTTCCACAGGTATATTGACTCTATCCCAAAGACACTTGGAAATCTTTACAACAGCCTAGGGTTTGTGATTCCTCAGAAGCTGGCTGGTGTCCTTCCTACAGATTTTTTCAGTGATGACTCCATGACACAAGAGAACAAATCACCACTTCTTTCTGTGCCTTTTTTGTCAAGTGCTCGTAGATCAGTGTCAGGCAGCCCTGAATCTGATGAACTGCAGGAACTTCGTACCAGATCAGCCAAGAAGAGAAGGTAAGAGGTCAAAGAATCAAAGGAATTATTTGCACTGTTATAGTTCTGATAAAAGATGTGTTTAAACTACAGTCCAGTCATCTTTGTCCATATAATTTGTTGAACTAATAGCTGCCCTTATGTCTGAATCAGAGAAGCCAACTATTAGAGCTCCTAATAGGAGCATCTGACAATCTTTATATTATCTAGGAAATATATAGTCATGTTTTGCTTAACAACAGGGATACATCCTGAGAAATGCATTGTTAGGCAATTTTTGTTGTACTAACATCAGAGTGTGCCTACCAAAACCTAGATAGTATATATTTTTTCATTTATGTATATTTTTTCATATGGAAAAGCTAATGTTCCAGCATTGTTACTGAATAGCAGTCATTTCCCCTACTTGATCTGTAATGCCAATATCAAGTGTCATTTATTAGGTTTCTATATAGGCTCCATTATAACCTATGGGACCATTGTCATATATGCAGTTCGTCATTGAAGGAAACATTGCATGACTGTATAGTGTTTATTTCCTATTTCACAAAGTCTTCTTTACTGTCCACATGAGGTCTCCAGAAACTAGGCCTTCTATGAAATAAGCTTAGAGTTTCAGCTTTTTAAATTTCCCTTGATGCTTTTCGTTGTTCATAACTGGTTGAATTTGTTACTTTTGAAAATTCTGGGGTGACTTGTTTTATTATAAACCCAGAACAACCTTAAGATAACTGGCTTTTATTTAAATCATATTTTATTTTACTTAGACTCCAGTTCCATTTGAATTTAACTATATATAACCTCTATCTAGTATGTATTAACTATTTCTATTTTTAAAAGGAAAAATGCATTAATAAGACATAAAAGCATTGCTGAGGTTTCACAGAATCTTCGACAAATTGAAATTCCTAAAGTGTCAAAGAGAGCTACGAAAAAAGTAAGTAAACCTTCCAGCTTGAGATGACACAGTAAATAAGAACAAAAAGGCAGTGTCCCTACTTTTAGGAAAATGAACTTTGGAGGATACAGAAATAATATTAAATATTTTTATGAATGTGTATAAAACTATAATCCAAGGAATAAAGAAATATAAACTTGTCAAGAGATTAACAATTTTACTCAAGAGTGTGATAGTTAGAGGTAATGTGAAGAAAAATGGCAAGTAAAAGTTAGGAATGAATTAATTCAAAATCTTTAATGTAGATAGGAAAACTCATAAAACAATAACTAAAATAAGCAAAGCAGTCACTGGAAGAGAATATACAATTGTAAGTGGACTTTGGTTGCATACCAGAAGGTGCTTTTCAATATGTTATATTTTACTTTAATAACAAATTTAGGCCAGGCACAGCGGCTCACACCTATAATCCCAGCACTTTGGGAGTCAGAGGAGGGAGGATAGTTTGACACCAACAGTCTGAGACCAGCCTGGACAACATAGCGAGACCCTGTCTCTACAAAAAATAAAATTAAGAAAAAATTAGCCAGGCATGGTGGCACATGCCTGTAGGCCCAGCTATTCAGGAGTCTAAGGCAGGGAGATTGCTTGAGCCCAGTAGGTCAAAGCTGCAATGAGCTATGGTCGTGCCACTGCACTCCAGCCTGGGTGACAAAGCAAGACTTCATCTCTTAAGTGAATTAATGAATGAATAAATGAATGAATAACAAGTTTTTTGAAAAAGATGATGACCATCATGGAGCCAGGAGGTGGAGTAGTCGCCCCTTATCTGCAGAAGATATGTTCCAAGACCCCCAGTGGATGCCTGAAACCACAGATAGTACTGAACCCTATATATAGTACTGTTTTTTCCTATGCATGCATAAGTTCAATTTGTAAATTAGGCACAGTAAGAGATTAACAACAATAGTAAAATAGAACAATTATAGCAATATAATATAATAAAAGTTATGTGAATGTGGTCTTCCTCTCAAAATATCTTATTGTACTATATTCACCCATTTTGGGGCCATGGTTGACTATGGGAAACTGAAACCATGGAAAGTGAAATCACAGATAATGGGGTACTATTGTTGTTTTTTTCATGGCAGTTGATATAAGGACTTGAGGTTTTTATTGGTTGAAAAAAAAATAAACCTAGCTGGAATCTGTTTACTAAGTAGAATTAATGTCTCGCTGAGGAAAAAAGGGAGACTAAAAACACAATGAAACTTTTCAACTGCATGAACTATCTGAGAAGAGTTAAAATTCAATAAGAACTATCTTTAGAAGCATTAATTATTATAATAGTGGTTTGTTCTGTTTCTAGATATTTGTAGCAGTCCTTTGGAATTGGAGGTGGGATTTCTTTTAAATGGTTAATGGTGTTCACTTTCTTATACTTTGTGAATAAAATGCATATCTTATATATCTCACAATCCTGATTGAAGATTGGAAAATCCGAAAGTGAATGGCCAAAAGTTGCCAGGCCTTTATTCTCACTAGATTTTACAATGATTTGCAGATCTTTCTAGCACACTTTGAAACTTTGGTTTTAGATTGGACAAGACAGTTTTCTTCTCTAAGATCAGAATTAACGCCTGGGCGCAGTGGTTCATGCCTATAATGCCAGAACTTTGGGAGGCCAAGGCAGGAGGAATCACTTGAGCCCAGGAGTTGGAGACCAGCCTAAGCAACATAGTGAGACCTTGGCTCTACAAAAAATTTAAAAATTAGGTATGGTGGTGCACTCCTGTAGTCCCAGCTACTCGGGAGGCTGAGGTAGGAGGATCGCTTGAGCCTGGGAGTTTGAGGCTGCAATGAACTATGATGAAGCCACTGCACTCCAGCCTGGGTTACAGAGAGAGACTCTGTCAAAAAAAAAAAAAAAAAAAAATTGAGGTCAGGATTTGATTGTGGTTAGTAATGTTTTTTCATGTCAAAGTTGGTACCATAGATAAGTGACAATTGTTTAACTGAAAGGACCAGATGTTACATTTTTAAAAGAATAAATCTCAGTTCTCTGAAGGACCAATATAGTTAACTCGGGAAGCAGTGAACTTACAACTTAAGCGTAGACATATAGTATTAATTACATTAATGTATATTAATTTCTTTTACGTATCTTAACTCCAGAAGATCACAAGGATTAAAAAAAAAATATTTGATCCTGCCTTAATACCTTCAGGACATACTCTCCTAGTTTTTCATTCAATTACATGGATTAACAAGGGTTGACAAACTTTTTCTGTAAAGGGCCAGATAGTAGATGTTTTAGCCTTTGCAGGCCATACGTCTCTGCAACATCTATTCAGTTCTGCTATAGTGGAAAAGCAGCTACAGGCATTATGGAAAGAAACGAGCATGACTATGTTTCAGTAAAAACTTTATTTTCAAAAACAAGAGGTGGCCCAGATTTGGTCTGTACACTGTAGTTTACTGAACCCTGGATAGGAAATTGGATGTATGACTTTTATTTTTATTTTTATTTTTTGAGATGGAGTCTCCCTCTGTCGCCCAGGCTGGAGTGCAGTGGCACGATCTCGACTCACTGCAAGCTCCACCTCCCGGGTTCACGCCATTCTCCTGCCTCAGCCTCCCGAGTAGCTGGCGTGCACCACCACGCCTGGCTACTTTTTGTATTTTTTAGTAAAGATGGAGTTTCACCATGTTAGCCAGGATGGTCTCAATCTCCTGACCTCGTGATCCGCCCACTCGACCTCCCAAAGTGCTAGGATTACAGGCGTGAGCCTCTGCGCCCAGCCGGATGTGTGACATATTTTTACAATTATAGTTTATCTCTTTATAAGAGTTATTAATCAATATAAGTAAGAATGATCACATCTCATGTCTTATCAGCAAGACCTTGGTTATATCACTGAGACCATTTGTTAAGTTTCTGCCCATATGTGGTGGCTTCTTCAATTATTATGATGAATTGAAAAAACAAAAAATCTTTAAAAAAACAGTTTCCTTGTTTTGATGCATCTGGGGTTTAGACTCTTGAATCTTCTATTGTAATAGCAAGTACATAGCAGTCTGATAAAGAAATGTTTCTGAGAGTATAGCCTCCCTCTAATTAATGTATATGGCTTTTCCCTTATTAGGTATAAAAGGTATGCATGATTATCGTTAAAAAGTTAAAACATATAAAGTTAAAAGTTAGGGTGTTCCTTCTCCATCCATTCATCAGAAGTAATCACTGATGATAGTTTGTTGTGTATATTTCCAGGCCCTTTTCTATATGCACCAATAACACCAAAGATTTATGCAGATCCGTTATATACATATATATAAATGATATAACTTAGAATACTTAATATTTTCCTTTTTCCTCCCTATCACAGATCTCTATGTTAGTACAAGTTGAGTATCTCTTACCCAAAATGCTTAGGAGCAGAAGTGTTTCCATTCTTAGATGTTTTTGGATTTTGGAACATTTGCATTACATGTACTTACTGGTTAGCACCCCACATCCAGAAGTCCAAAATGCTCCACTGAGTGTTTCCTTTGAGTGTTGTGTTGGCACTCATGAAGTTTTGGATTTTGGAGCATATTGGATTTTCAGATTAGGGATGCTCAACCATATATAGAGAGGTCTTCCTTCCTTACTCTTGTAATGTCTGCATTGGATGGGTATGTAATTTATTTAACTGTTTCACTCTTTATGGGCATTTATAGTGTTTTTTATTTTGTGTTATTACTATAGTGCAGCATTGAGTGTTTTTGGAACATTTCTGTTGTACATTTTATTATTTCTATTATGGATCCCTATAAATGAATTACAAGAGTCAAAGAGTTCATGTGAAATCTTTATTCTTTTATTTCAATGAATGCCTATTTAAATTTTCTTTCTGGATTTTCTCATGTTTCAGGAGAACTCTCACCCTGCTCCTCAGCAGCCTTCCCAGCCAGTGAAAGATACAGTGCAAGGTATACTGTTTTCTCAGTGTATGTATTTATTCACTAGCATGACAACTTTATTTTTATTGTATGTATTTAAGCAGCTGCTTACAGGTGTAAATTAAGGCTTTGTATGATTGTTGGCTAATAAAATATGTCCAAATACCATGGACATAGTCCCCTAGGAATAGTCTCAAAATATTGTATTTTACAAAATAACTGGTCTGAAATCTTTAAAAACAAAAACAAAATTAAAAAAAACATCATGAAAGCTGGAAGAAAGGAAAAAGAAAAGAGGCAGTGGGACTGTTTCAGATGAATGGAGTTTAAGCATGATAGCTAAATGCATTCCATGATCCCTGCTTGGATCTTAAATTTAGGGAAAAAAATACTAGAAAGGATATTACTGAGACAACTAGAGAAATTTGAAGAAGCGGTGTATGCTAGATAATATTGTATCAATGCTAAAGATATTTTGAGTGTAATAATGGCGTTGGGGTTATGGAGGAGAATGTCCTTGTTTTTAGGAGATACATGCTGACCTTTAGGAAGTGAACAGTTGTTTGCAATTTACTCTCCAGTGTTTAGGGGAATAACGTACATACAGAGAGAAGGAAGGAGAAAACAAATATTGTCAGTTGGTGAACTTTAGTGATGGGCGTATGTTTAATTTTATTATTATTTGAAACTTGCTATAGAAATTAAGCTTTTCAAAACATTGGGAAAATAGAGAATAACAAACCAAATTTGGCTTTCAGGTCATAAATCAATTTCACCAACAGCCTAAGTTAGGTAACAGGAACTCTTATAATGGAGATAAGGAAACAATTTTTAAAACTTTGGTGTGTGTTATTGATGTCCTTAATAACCTTAATGTGAACCTTTATGTCATTGATGGGTAAACACAAGGGTTGCTCCCAGTTTGTGGATCCTAGATTATTTGGTTTGGGTTTAAATGATTAATCTTTGAAGAATTCACCCTTGGTGAATTTTTGGATCACTTCCACCAGACTATCTTAAGATTAAGGTATTGTCTTGCTGGCTTTGCCACGTACTTCTTGACTTTTCAGCTATTTTTTTCTAACTTTGAGTCTAGATGATGAGAACTTTCATGCTTTGGAGTCAAGAATAAAATTTAAAATGTCCCAGCAGCTTAGTAAAGTAGTCAGAAGAAGAAGAAAGAAATTATAGAATTGAACAATTCTTTGCTCAATGCTGAGCTGAATACACAGCAGCAAAAATGTCCAAAGTGAGAAAAATAATCATAACATGGGATATATTAAAAGGACGATGACCTATGTTAGCCATCCTCTTACTTAAGAATTATGTCCATCTTACATTGAGTAGCTTCTAACTCAATAAGTGGTGGGGGCCTTCCTTGTGTTCCTGAAAAGTTAGATTTAAATTGAATTCGTAATGGAATACTACAAACCACTGTATACCAACAAATTGTATAACCTAGATGAAATGGACAGACTCCTAGAAAGATACAAACTACTAAAAACAGACTCAAGAAGAAATAGAAAATCAGAATAGATCTATAACAAGTAAAAAGTTTGAATTAGTTATCAAAAAACTACTCACAAAGAAATGCCCAGGACTAGAAGTTTTCACTGCTGAATTCTATCTAGCCTTTAAAAAAGAAATTAGCACTAGCATTTATTATGGTCAACTGATATTCAGGGTACCAAGACAATTTGATGGAGAATGAATAGTCTTTTGCACAAATGATGCTGAGACAACTGGATATCCACATGCAAAAGAATGACATTGGACCCCTACCTCATGCAAAATAACATATAAAATTTTTTTTAATTTGCAAAAGTAAATATTTTTAATGCATTATGGGAATATGCTATTTAAGGAAACCTTATTAGCATATGTGACAATAGCAATCTGTAGTTTCCTCAAGGAGCTTCTCTGTTTTGGTTATCTTTTCTCAGATACGGCATTTATTGATGATAATCTTTGGGTTTTTCTTTTTCTTTTAATTTTTGATGCTTTCAGAAGTGACCAAAGTTCGAAGAAATCTTTTCAACCAGGAATTGCTTTCCCCTTCAAAGAGATCACTAAAGCGGGGGTTGCCTAGAAGCCATTCTGTGTCAGCTGTGGATGGTCTAGAGGATAAACTTGACAACTTCAAGAAGAACAAAGGTACCACATTTCAGAATAGCTAGGAAAAAGGAAAGGGAGATTCTGTAAGATTAGTAGTAATGTACCGTCTTTCTTTCCTGATTTAGTAATTTGAGTCTTCTTCCCTCTTTTTTCCTTCAGTCTAGCTAAAGGTTTGTCAATTTTGTTAATCTTTTTTTTTTTTTTTTTTTTTTTTTTTTGAGACAGGTTCTTGCTCTATCACCCAGGTTGGAGTGCAGTGGCGCAATCTCAGCTCACTGCAGCCTCCACCTCCCAGGCTCAAGTGATTCTCCCACCTCAGCCTCCTGAGTAGCTGGGACTACAGATGTACACTACCACACCCAGCTAATTTTTAAAATTTTTTTGTGGAGACATGGTCTTATCATGCTGCCCAGGCTAGTCTCAAACTCCTGAGCTCAAGCGATCTGCCCTCCTCGGCCTCCCACAGTTGCTGGGATTATAGGCATGAGCCACCACACCCAGTCAATTTTGTTAATCTTTTCAAAGAATTTACTTTGGTTTATTGTTTTTTCTCTATTGGTTTTCTTTGTCTTTTTTTTGAGTCAGAGTCTCACTCACTCTGTCTCCTGGGCTGGAGTGCAGTGCCGTGATCTTGGCTCACTGCAACCTCTGCCTCCCAGGTTCAAGCGCTTCTCCTACCTCAGCCTCCCCAGTAGCTGGGATTATAGGTGTGCACCACCACACCCGGCTAATTTTTGTATTTTTAGTAGAGACGGGGTTTCACCATGTTGGCCAGGCTGCTTTCCAACTCCTGACCTCAAGTGATCTGCCCGCCTCAGCCTCCCAAAGTGCTGAGATAGGTGTGAGCTACCGCGTCTGGCCTCTATTGGTTTTCTAATCTCAGTTTCATTTTTTTTTTTTCCCTCTATTGGCTTTGGTTTTTGTTTGCTCTTTTTCTACTTTTTTAAGGTGAAGTTTAAGCTATTGATTTGAGATCTTTTTTAATAAAGCACTGCTTTAGGCATATCCTATAAATTTTGATATGATTTGTTTTTGTTTTCATCATCTCAAAATATTTTCTAATTTCCCTTGTGATTTCTTCTTTGATCCATTGGTTATTTCGGAGCGCATTAATTTCCACATATATGTATTTCCTAAATTCTCTTCTCTGCTTATTCTAGTTTCATTCTATTGTTGTAAAACATACATTGTATGATTTCAGTCTTTTGAAACTTGAGACTTATTTTGTGGCTTAACATTTGGTCTATCCTGGAGAATGTTTAATGTGTGCTTGAGAAGAATGTGAAGCATTCTATAGATGTGTGTTGGGTCTAGTGGATTTATGGTATTATTCAAGTCTTCTGTTTCCTTGTTGAGCTTCTGTTTTATTGTTTATTTATTATTCAAAGTGGCATATTAAAGTCTCCAGCTATTATTGTTGAATTATTTATTTCTCCCTTCAGTTCTGTCAATTTCTGCTTCATGTATTTTGAGACTCTGTACTTAAGTATATATGTCAATAATTATTATGTCTTCTTGATCAATTAAACTTCTTACCAATAGGTAATGTACTTTGTGTTTTGTAATCTTTCTTGGCTTACAGTCTGTTTTGTCTGACAATAATACAGCTCCCCACCCACCAGCTCTTTTGCATAGGATATCTTTCATTGTCCTTTTACTTTCAACCTTAGTGTCTTTGTATCTAAATTAAATATCTTATAGACCTCATAGAGTTGGATCATGTTTTTTTAATCCATTCTTCTTATCTCTGCTTTTCAATTGCAGTGCTTAATCCACTTCTATGAATGTAATTACTAATAAGGAACAACTGTCATTTTCTATGTTTTATGCTTTTTTGTTTCTCAATTCCTGTTTTTTTGTATTTAGCTGATTTTTTGTAGTATACTAGTTTAATTCCATTCTTTCTTTTTCTGTGTATTTTTAAGTTGTTTTCTCAGTGGTTACCTTGGTTAACCCAGCTACTGGTTACCTCAGTTAGCATCTTAAGCTTAAAAGAACCTGGCTTTATGAATAAAGCCAACCTCTTTTCAATAATATACACTCTGCTACTATGTATTTCTGTCTCTTCTTCTTTATATTGTTGTAGACTGCATCTTTATACATTGTGTACCTGTTAATACAGACTTAAATTATATAGGGTTTAAAAAAAAAACAAAATTACCATAATGCTGGCTTTTATATTTATCTGTCTAGTTACCTTTACCGTTGTTTTTTATTTCTTCTCATGGCTTTGAGTTATTGTCTACTACCTTTCATTTTAGCTTTTCTTACAGGGTAAGTCTACTGATTATGAACTCCCTCAGCTTTTATCTATTTGGAAATGTCTTACTTTCTACTTTATTTGTGAAGGACATAGAATTTTTGGTTGACAATTTTTTTTTCCCCCTTCAGGACTTCAAATGTGACATCCACTGCCTTCTGGTCTCCCAAATTTCTGATGAGAAATCAACTATTAATCTTATTAAGCTGCTTCTCTATTGCTGCTTTCCAGATTCTCTCTTTGTCCTTGGGTTTCAACACTTTGACTACAACGTGTCTCAGTGTGAATCTCTTAGAGTTTATTCAGCTTGGAGTTCGTGGAACTTCTTGGATGTATATGTTCATGTCTTTCATCAGATTTTTGGAAGGTTTTAACCATTATTTCTTCAAAAAATTTTCTGCCACTTTTGGTCTCATTTCCTCCTTAGACTCCCATGATATATGTGTTGGTACACTTGATGGTGTCCTACAGGTCCCTCAGACTTTGTTCATTTTTTTTTTAATTATTTTTTCTTTCTGCTCAGGCTGGATAATTTCAATTACCTTATCTTCACGTTCACTGATTCTTCTGCCAGCTCAAATCTGTGGTTGACCCTTCTAGTTAGTTTTTTCATTTCAGCTCCAGAATTTCTACTGGATTCTTTTTTATCATTTCTATTGCTTTATTGATATTCTCATTTTGTTCATATATTATTTTCCTGATTTCCATTAGTTTCTTATATATGGTTTAAGTGAGCTCATTGTGCATATTTAGAGAAGTTGATTTAACATCTTTGACTAGTAATTCCAATGTCTTGGCTTCCTTAGTGACGGTTTTTGCCAAATTTCTCTTTTCTGGTAAATAGGCCATACTTTCTTGTTTCTTTGTATACTTCGTAGTTTTTTGTTGAGGACTAGTTATTAGGGATATTATAATGTGGTAACTGCATGGAGGTCAGATCCTGTCACCCCTCAGGGATTCCTGTTCTTTGCTTATTAAGGATCTCAGCTATTCATTTGTGCCTTTTCTGAACTATTTGTGTAAAGTATGTATACCTTGTTGTGTGTGGTCACTGAAGTTTCTGTCTATTATCTCTGTGGTCAGCCAATGACCTAAGAAGGATTTCCTTAAATGTCTGATTCAAGAAACGAGGAGGGGGAAGGTGTGTCTGTCCCTTAAACTTCTGATAATTGGGAGAAACCCACTGTAGCCTAAGAGAGCTGAAACCAAGGCAGTGTCTGCACTGCTCCTACAGGAATCTGCCTGGTTGACCAAAGCATGCAACCCCCAATTTTTGGAGGACGAGGTCTTCACTGTCTGCCCTAGCACCAGCCAGCTGCTCCTGGAATGTGGGCTGCTATCCCAATAGCTACAGCAGGGATGAGAAAAGGGAAATGGTAGCCAGTTCATGCACATCATTCCCTTCCTAAAGATCATCAGTCTCTCCCATCATCAAGCACTTCCTAGGTTATTACAGGTGTTCAATCAAGTTGCCAGGTTCCAAAATAGTGAATTCTGATCTTTTTTTCTAGTTTACTAGTTATTTGGGTTGAGGGACTGACCCCTAGAGCTTTCTTCTCCATCATGTTGCATAACCTCACTCCCCTTGGAGATTACAATTAAGATATTAACTTATAACAGCCTAGTTCTCATTGATACCAATTTAACTTTGACAGTTTATAAAAACTTTGCTATTGTATAGTTCTACTGACTATCCCTTCTTAGTTCTATATTGTCATGCAAATTACATCTATACATTGTATGCCCATCAACACTGATTTATAATCATTACTTTGTATTTTAAATAACAGGGGGGAACAGTTACAAATAAAAAACACTTTTATAATGTTTTTCTTATATAGTTACCTTTACCAATGCTGTTTAACTCTTTATGTGGACTTGAGTTACCCTAGTGCCCTTTCCTTTCAGCCCACAGGACTCCTTTTAGTATTATTTATAGTGTAGGTCTGCTAATGACAAATTCTGTTTTATTTTGTTTCATTCTGAGAATGTGATGATTTCTCCTCATTTTTGAAGAATACTTTCATTGGGTATAGAATTCCTGGTTGGCAGTCTTTTTTCTCTCAGCACTTTGAATATGTCATCACACTGCCTTTTGTCTTTTGTTTCTGACGAGAAAGCAGCTGCTAATCTCATCAAGGATCTGTACACGATGAATAGCTCTCTGGCTTCTTTCAAGATCTTCTTTTTTTCACTTTTGATAGTTTGATTATGATTTGTCTGGTTTTGGATCTCTTTCACTTTATTCTACTTGTATTGAGTTTCTTAGATGTGTAGTGTCTTTCATCAAATATGGGTCATTTTTAGCCAATATTTATTCAAATGTTCTTTCTGCCTCTTCCTTTCTGTCCTTTCCTTCTGGACTTCCGGTATGTGTGTGTTGTGCTTGATGGTGTCACAAGTATCTGAAGCTCTGTTCATTTTTCTTCATTCTTTTGTCTTTATCTTCCTTAGACTGGATCATCTCAATTAACCTTGTCTTCAAATTTGTTGACTCTTTCTTTGCCACCTCAAATTTACTTTTCATTTTTGTTATACTTTTTAACTCTAGAATTTCTATTCGCTTTTTTTTTTTTTTTTTTTTTTCCGTCTGTTGATATTCTCTGTTTGGCAAGTCATTGGACTCATATTTTAGATCTTTAGGTATGATTTTCTTTAGTTCTTTGAACATATTTAAAACAGCTGATTTAAAGTCTTGTTCTAGCCGGGCGCGGTGGCTCACGCCTGTAATCCCAGCACTTTGGGAGGCCAAGGCGGGTGGATCACGAGGTCAGGAGATCCAGACCATCCTGGCTAACACAGTGAAACCCCGTCTGTACTAAAAATACAAAAAATTAGCCGGGCGTGGTGGCGGGCGCCTGTAGTCCTGGTTACTCCGGAGGCTGAGGCAGGAGAATGGCGTGAACCCAGGAGGCAGAGGTTGCAGTGAGCCGAGATCACGCCACTGCACTCCAGCCTGGGCAACAGAGCGAGACTCTGTCTCAAAAATAAATAAATAAATAAATAAATAAAGTCTTGTTCTAGTAAGTCCAATGTCTGGACTTTCTCAGGGACAGATTCTGTTGGCTGATTTTTTTTCCCCTGTGTATGGGCCATACTTTTTTGTTTTGTTTCTTTGCATGACTCATAATTTTGTTGACAACTGGATTTTTTTTTTTTTTTGAGATGGAGTCTTGCTCTGTCACTCAGGCTGGAGTGCAGTGGTATGATCTTGGCTCACTGTAGCCTCAAACTCCCTGACTTCCTGGCTTAAGCAATCCTCCCACCCACCTCAGCCTCCCAAGTAGCTAGCTGGACTAAAGGCATGCACCACCACTCCTGGCTAATTTTTGTATTTTTTTGTAAAGATGTGGTTTCACCACGTTGGCCAGGCTTGTCTTGAACTTCTGGACTCAAGCAGTCCGCCTGCCTCAGCCTCCCAAAGTGCTGGGATTACAAGCATGAGCCACTGCACCCAGCATGGATATTTTAAACAATATAATGAGGCAGCTGTAACAATCAGATCCACCCCAACCCTGCCAGGATTTGTTATTGTTTTTGTTTAGTCACTTTTCTAAACTATTTGTTTAAATTTTGTATTCTTTATCATGTGTGGCCACTAAAGCCTCTGCTCAGTGGTCTTAGTGGTCAACTAATGATTGGACAGAGATTTCCTTAAATGCCTGGAACCCATAAGTTTCACAGCCCCTACTGAGGGGCTCTGTGTGTTGGGTCATGCCTTCAACACTCAGCCAGGCAGTTTAGAATTCCACTTCACTTTCTGTTTTGCCAGAGCCTCAAGGTTAGCCATAGGTGGCAGCTTACAGGCTTCTCAAGTCTATCCTCGGCACATGCACAGTGCTACACGTGTGTGGACTTTTGGATGCCTAAGAATGTCATCAGAGATTTGCAAAGTCCCCTGTGATGTCTCATTCCCCAATTTTCCCAATTAAACTTTTGGCCAGCTTGTTATTGCACCAAATGTTACCACCACCTCAGGCAGCTGTAACATTTAACAATTGCTGCTGATTGTTTTCAGTAAATGCTGTCAGGGAAAAAGGTGGTTTACACTGTATGAGTTCTGAGTCAGGTCAAAGCAAGACAAGCCTTGATTTGAGTAGGATTCTCCAGGGAACTGCCAGACAGGTTAATGGATGACAGTTATCTGAGAATGGAGTTTTGGAGGAGCTCCAACCCCATTCTGCCCTGTCCAGAGGCTGCTGGGCTGTTGGTTTTCACTGTGATTGTGGGAAATTGATTTTTAAAGCTACCGTAGGGCTAGGGGGAAGGGGCAGGGACTAAGGCAAGTTAAAGCTTCCTGAGATTCAACCATTTTTCTTGAACAAATACTCCCTAGATTGTTGCAAACCTTTAATTAATGTTCAGAGTTCTGGAAAAGATTTTTGACCATTTTTCCCAGTGATCTCTGTTCCTTTATGGAGGAGAGTGTTCAGAGGTCCTTACCTCACCATTCTTACTGGCATCACTCCTCTTTACTAATCATTTTAAGCTCACTTTAAATCAGTCCTCTCATAAGTAGCTTGGCTGCCTACTCTACTAAGAAATTTTATGCCACCTACGTTTATCTTAATAATTAACATTTATGTGGCATATCGGCATTTTCACATATTTCATTTAATCATAAATACTAGAACCACCAACTAGGTGTTAGTCTTAACAAGTGAGCAATTTTCATTTTTTCAGGATTGCTTATTAGATAAAATTTTATATTTATATTGTCTTTTTTTTTTTTGAGATGGAGTCTCCCTCTGTTGCCCAGGCTGGAGTGCAGCGGCATGATTTTGGCACACTGCAACCTCTGCCTCCTGGGTTCAAGTGATTCTCCTGCCTCCGCCTCCCAAGTAGCTGGGCTTACAGGCACGCACCACCTCGCCCAGTTAATTTTTGTATGTTTAGTAGAGATAGGCTTTCACCGTGTTGGCCAGGCTGGTCTTGAACTCCTGACCTCAAGTGATCCGCCCTCATTAGCCTCCCAAAGTTCTGGGATTACAGGCATGAGCCATTGTGCCCAGCCTATATTTACATTGTCTTATGTCATTTTTTAATCTCTAATAGTGCTGACAAACTTCTATCATGTTGAGTCCTGTAACCATAGAACTTAGCCCAAAGACCATTAAGATCCTCTCCAGCTAGGTAATAAGCCATACAGAAGTTCAAACTGCTCCCTTGGCCTTACTGCTGCTTCTTGATGAGGTTAAATGAAATTTATGATTTAAGCTGTGTTTACATTTTAGGTTATCACAAACTGCTGACTAAGAGTGTGGCCGAGACTCCAGTGCATAAGCAGATCTCCAAAAGGCTGCTGCACAGACAAATCAAGGGCAGGTGAGTGACATCCCCATCCGGGCTTCTTCATACACCCACACCACCTCAAAGCGGCCTTGTGGGCCACTACTTCGCTTCTCTTGACCTTCATGACTTAAATCTTAACTATGTTGCTTAAAACCAAAGAGCATTCTATAAGCTCTCCATGGGAGCAGGAGAACCATATAAAATATACACTTGTCTGGCCTCAATTATTTTGAGATTCATCCATGTTGTTGCATGCAATAGTTCATCCTGTTTTATTGCTGAGAAGTATTCCATGGAATAGATACTCCACGGTTTTTAAATCCATTCATCTGTGAACATAGAGAAGGTGGAAGTCTGGGATCCCAACTCAGCCTTTGCTGACAGAGGTGTGGGTGGGGCTGCAGTTTTTTCTGCAGCGATTGGTTGGAGTAGGGCTGTTATTGTCTGAAAGTTTTCTGTCTTGCTTGGCTGACCCTTTCCTAGTTCTTTGGCTTGAGAGCTCTCCTTCCTTGGGGCATCTGTAGTTTGCTCCTGGTATACCTGGGTTGTCAGCTTTTCTGGCACCCAGTCTAGGGGTGTAGGCAGCAAACAGAAAACCCAGGGAGCTAGCTCACTGCCCTCCTCAGGTCCCAAAGTCCCCAGCCAGGCTGCCTTCTTCTCTCTGCCTTTCAGAATTGTCTCCTGCTCATTGTATAGATAATGTCATGGGTTTTTAGCTTGATTTCAAGGGTAATAGAAGCACACCTCCTTCTATTTTGTCAGAAACCCATCTCGACATTATTCGTATATGGATTTTACACACTTGTGAAGTTTATAGGTTAAATTGCGAAAAGTGAAATTGGTGGGTCAGAGGCATATATATTTTTAATTAAATTTTTTATAACATCCTTGACACATTGGCAGAAATTAAGGCTCTTAAACAGAAACTTGAATGTTGCTGCTCATTACTGTGATAGTCTGATAGTTTGGTATAATTTTTTAATATATTAATGGGGTTTATAATTCTGATGTTGTAAAATTGCTTTCCAAAAAATAAAAGCAAAACAAAACCACATTCTAACCATCTCACTCTTTTTCTGAGTAGGAATCTCACTCTGTCACTCAGGCTGGAGTGCAGTGGCACAATCCCAGCTCACTGCAACCTCTGCCTCCCAGGTTCAAGTGATTCTCCTACCTCAGCCTCCAGAGTAGCTGAACTACAGGTGTGTGCCACTGCACCCAGCTATCTTTTTTTTTTTTTTTTTTTTTGAGACAGAGTCTAGCTCTGTCGCCAGGCTGGAGTGCAGTGGCGCGATCCTGGCTCACTGCAACGTCTGCCTCCCGGGTTCAAGCGATTCTCTTGCCTCAGCCTCCCAAGTAGCTGGGACTACAGGCGCATGCCACCACGCCCAGCTAATTTTTGTATTTTTAATAGAGTCGGGGTTTCACCATATTGGCCAGACTGGTCTCGAACTCCTGACCTCAAGTGATCCGCCCGCCTTAGCCTCCTAAGGTGCTGGGATTACAGGCGTGAGACACTGTGGCCAGCCTCCCTCTTGACAATAATCACGTATGAGAGCCCTTTACCAGCACTGGTGTTATCAGACCCTGTGATCTTTGTGATCTTGTTAAGTGAGAAGCTGCCTGTCTCCTTAATAAGTGTTAATTACAAGTGGTATGGAGTAATCCTTGTGCATGTGGTTCCTCGAGGTCCTCTGATCCTGGTCCTGATATTGGTGTTGTTGAAGAGTCCCCTGAAAAAGGAGATGGTGAGTGTTATCTCTTTTTGTTTTTAATGCAATCTACCCAGCTTCTATGAAAACCTTTCTGTATGTATTGTTACTTGGCATATCCTAAGATATTTTACAGAAATTGTGATGGCTCTGAGTCCACAATGCAGCTCAGTAAATATTTATAAGTGAATGTTCTTCTGCATAGAAGGTACTGAGAGAATTCTGGAAAAGAAATATTTTTGCACAACAGATATGAAATTCAGGATGAGGGCTAAACTGTGTTATACAAAGTGCTATGACTTATTTTAAAAGTATATATAACTTTGTTGGAGCTTTTCACTACATATTTTTTCAAGAAGGCAGGGAAATTTTTTATTGGGGAGTGTCTTTTCTGAGACATTATCTTTGCTGCTGCCCCTTATGTATCTGTGTATTCCGTGCCCCCAACACACAGTGCCTGGCACATAGCAGGTGATCAGTAAGCACATGTTGAATGAGGGTGAGCAGCAGGTGTGGTGGTTCACGCCTGTAATCCCAGCACTTTGGGAAGCCAAGTGGGGAGGATCACTGGCCAGGAGTTTGACACCATCTTAGGCAACACAGTGAGGTGCTGTGTCTATAAAAAATTTAAAAAATCAGCTGGTCATGTTGGCATACTCCTATGGTCCCAGCTACTCGGGAGGCTGAGGTGAGAGGATCTCTTGAGCTCTGGAGTTCAAGGCTGCAGTGAGCTATGATCGTGCCTCTGCACTCCAGCCTAGCGACAGAGCAAGACCATGTCTCTAAAAAATAAAATAATAAAAGTATACATGATGAAGGAGGGGTTTTAAAAAACTAACTTCTAAGTTGCTCAAGTAATTCACATTTATTGTGGAAAAAACAGGAAACATGAAGCCAAAAATTTTAAAGCACTTGGTAATTCCACAACTCAGAAATACTCTAACATTTTAGCATATACTCTTACTGCTATTATTTCTATATAAATGCATGTAACATATACATACGAAACCTAACATAAATACTTGTTTTCGCCCTACACCATTCTTCTTTTTTTTTTTTTTTTTTTGGTGAGACAGACTCTTGCTCTGTCGCCCAGGCTGGAGTGCACTGGCATGCTCTCCGCTCACTGCAACCTCCACCTCCCAGGTTCAAGCGATTCTCCTGCCACAGCCTCCCAAGTAGCTGGGGTTATAGGCACCCACCACCATACCTGGCTAATTTTTGTATTTTTAGTAGAGACAGGGTTTCACCTTGTTGGTCAGGCTGGCTACACCATTCTTAAGGTGGCAGTAAATAAGACTTCTGAAGGTAATAGTCTAGTGGGTCAGTGTTTTTTTAATACCTTGTTGGGACCATGTATCAAACCCCTCTTAGTTTGTTAAGAGACACTTCAGAAGTCTCTTAAAGCTAATAGCTTGCTGAATTTCCATCTTATATGTGGTACTATGTAAATTTTGCCCGGTTTTGGACAACATGAGAAAATGTCAAGCTTGTAGTTGTCTTTGGTTACTTACTGTGGTTCTGATTTTACAGAAATAAGTCTGAGACGAAGTCCTCGAATCAAGCAGTTGTCATTTAGCAGGACACATTCTGCCTCCTTCTATTCTGTGTCTCAGCCGAAGTCTCGAAGTGTGCAAAGAGTCCACTCTTTCCAGCAAGATAAGTCAGGTAACATACGGGCCCCTCTGCCTTCACAAGTCCGTGCTGACTTGGTGAGAAGTGTTTTTGGGAAAAGAAGCAAGAAATTTGACATTTTCTTTCTTGACATTGGAGAAGTAGAATAGGTATGTCTAGTTGAGGTTCAGGGTGATGGCTAGATGGACAGTCCATGACTTTGTAATCAGTCATCCCTAGGACTCCTACAACTGGTCATCCATGCTATCATTATAGGTAGCTCATTCATTCAAGAGGAAGCTACCCATAATTTCCCATAAGGACAGAACCTACACATCATTATCTTAGGTGGAAGGTGATATCTGTGTTTACGTTCTTCATTCTTCTATCCATGGTTAGCTTGCTAATAGATTTGTGTTTCTTATTTTATCTTTTTTTGAGACAAGGTCTCACTCTGTCACCCAGGCTGGAGTGCAGTGGCACGAACACAGCTCACTGTAGCCTCAACCTCCCAGGCTCAGGTGATCCTCCCACCTTAGCCTCCCAGGGAGGTGGGACTACAGGCATGCACCACCACGCCCAGCTGATTTTTTGTTTTTAGTAAAGACTGGGTTTCACCATGTTGCCCAGGCTGGTCTTGAACTGCTGGGCTCAAGTGATCCATCTGCCTCGGCCTCCCAAAGTGCTGGGATTACAAGTGTGAGCCACCACACCCAGCCAGATATGTGTTTTTATATTTACAAATTAAAGTAGTTCAGTTGTCTACATTTTCTAACATAGGAGCTGGGGTTAATATGCCGTCTTACTAAAATTAAAAAAGGCAGCAGTTGTTGTAGTTGCTGACATAAATAGGTGGGATTTTCCCGAGTTGCTCTCAAAAATTGTTGCCTTCTTTCTTTTATGAACTGGCTGGGTTTTTCTTATGTTTTGTTTGTTTGTTTGTTTGTTTTTTGAGATGGAGTCTCACTCTGTTGCCCAGGCTGGAGTGCAGTGGCGCAATCTTGGCTCACTGCAAGCTCTGCCTCCCGGGTTCATGCCATTCTCCTGCCTCAGCCTCCTGAGTAGCTGGGACTACAGGCGCCCGCCACCACGCCCAGCTAAATTTTTTGTATTTTTAGTAGAGACAGGTTTCACTGTGTTAGCCAGGATAGTCTCGATCTCCGACTTAGTGATCTGCCCGCCTCAGCCTCCCAAAGTGCTGGGATTACAGGCGTGAGCCACTGCGCCCGGCCTTGTTTGTTTGTTTTTGAGATGGAGTTGTGCTCTTGTTGCCCAGGCTGGAGTGCAATGGTGCAATGTCGTCTCACTGCAACCTCCACCTCCTGGGTTCAAGCAATTCTTCTGCCTCAGCCTCCTGAGTAGCTGGGATTACAGGCCCCTGCCACCACGCCCAGCTAATTTTTTGTATTTTCAGTAGAGATGGTGTTTCGCTATGTTGGCCAGGCTGGTCTCGAACTCCTGACCTCAGACCATCCACCTGTCTCGGCCTCCCAAAGTGCTGGGATTACAGGCGTGAGCCACCATGCGTGGCTGGCTGTTTTAATAGTATTGGAAGAACAGGAATTGAGAAAGAATTAAATATTGTTGCTGTTTTTGACTTGCAGACCAAAGAGAAAATTCTCCAGTCCAAAGTATTCGGTCTCCCAAGAGTCTTCTTTTTGGGGCAATGTCTGAGATGATCAGCCCCTCAGAAAAGGGTTCAGCTCGAATGAAAAAGCGTTCAAGAAACACTTTGGATTCGGAGGTACCTGCAGCTTACCAGGTATAATGTTTCTGTAATGTTTGAAATAATATAATCTCCTGGAACACAGAGACATGGCCAAGGAACTCAGAGTCCATTAGGGAAGAGAAAGCAGGTGACCTCTAGATAATACTAGAGATTGGAGGTGACTGGGTGGAGCCACATGAATGATTATTAGACACGTGGGAACTTCAAGCAGCAGGTTTGACTGAAGCCACGGTGGGGGCGGTGGAGGAGGAGATAGAGAGGATCTCATCTGTTCTCTTGGCTTTGTCTACTGTTTATATTATATACTGCACAGATACCTTTCTGGAGTGTGTGACACTCATCTTTTCCGTTTGATTGCCCACTCCATCCAGTCACCAACATTAGAAACCTGGGAGTCATCCTTTTCCCTCTCCCCAGGCATAGCCAATCAGTCGAGTCCTGCCCATTTTATTTACAAACTGACTCTTTTTTTTTTTTTTTTTTTTTGGAGACAGAGTCTTACTATTTTGCACAGGCTGGAGTGCAGTGGCACGATCTCAGCTCACTGCAACCTCTGCCTCCCAGTTCAAGCGATTCTCCTGCCTCAGCCTCCTAAGTAGCTAGGATTACAGGCACCCACCACAACGCCCAACTAATTTTTGTGCTTTTAGTAGAGATGGGGTTTCACCATGTTGGCCAGGCTGGTCTCGAACTCCTGACCTCAAGTGATCCACCTGCCTCAGCCTTCCAAAGTGCTGGGATTACAGGCATGAGCCACTGCGCCCGGCCTACAAACTGACTCTTGTACCCACCCCCTCTTCTCCCCTACTGCAATTCCTACCCTAGTTCAGGTCTACCTGGAACACTTCAACAGGCTTTTCCCTCTCAAAGGGAAATCCTCCACCCAGAGGTCAGAGTGATCTTTCTGAAACATTCCTCTCAGTTTGCTTAAAATGTTCACTTTGCTTAAAGCTCTATAGACTCCCCGTCCGCTAAAGCAAGGCTTTAAGTTTTCCTAAGTGGAACTCTTGGGTTCAAAAATAATCACCTTTGTTTGGAAACTCAGTAAATTGCTTGGAGGTTGGGAAAGACATAGAGCTCTGGAGAAGGGTCTGAAAACCATAGATCTACACAACCAAGATCAGTCTCCTCCCCCAGGCAGGCAGGGTCTTCCGTGGTCTGTTCCCTCTGGCCTCACCCCTCCCCGCTCCACCTCCCCAGCAACATCAGGCTGGGTGCCATCCTGCACAGCCACTGCTTTTCACTTCCAGGCCTTTGCTAGTATTGTTTTCTATGCCTACAGGCCGCCACCACCCCACCCACTTTTCCTGTGTTTGCCTTCCCCTGCCGACACCCAAGCTTGAAGACCTGATCCAGGCTGGGTTAGGCAGCCCTTCTTTGTGTTCTGTGATGCCCCTCGCATGTCCCTGTCACTGCACCAATCACATTGTATTTTCACCTGCGTATGCCCCACTGAACAGGAAATGCCAGCTAGACTGAGAGTCCCCTGACGGGATGAAGGAAGGCTGTAGGAAAGATAAGCATTGATTTCCTTACCTGTTGGAGCTTTTCACTACGTATTTTTGCAAGAAGGCAGGGA